>NT_187539.1:0-184404 GCF_000001405.40 Homo sapiens
GAATTCCTAGAAACTGTTTTCCTTGTCTGCGGCCATTGTGCTGCTGCTACACAACTACCGCAAGCAGCCCTTCACGCCCTCCTCCCAGTACAAAGCTAATTGACTTGTGAGAAATGTTAAGCTTGGAAGAGTCAGCATCGCTGCACTTATTTTTTATTCTACTCTGACATTAGAATAATCCTTGAGTGGGGGAAAGGTTAAAAACCCCCCTGGATAAGTGTTACTAATTAATGATGATTGTTTTAAACAATGTTTGGATAATTTTTCCTTGTCCCTTGACATAAACTTGATAAATAACTGAGAAGTGAGAAGGAGATTAGTGGGTTGATTAAATTCCATTCAGGTACTTAAAGTTAGCTCCAAAAATTTAGCTATTTGTAAATTGTCATGCATTGTTAATGTATAAGAGATGTAGATTTCATTTATCTTTGGTGGAGCGAGATGAAGCAGTGAATCATTGAAGACTGAAAGAAAGAAAAAGGTCTTTTCCCTTTTCTTTAAGAAGCATCATTAGTTAAAAACATGTTAGTTGATACCAGAGAACTATATTTAAAGGGACAGCAATAAGCAAATTGATTACTCTGGTGATTATTGGAGTGACATTGCCTTTTAGTTGTACTTTCACAAAAATTCACAATATTTGCCAAAGTCAAGTTATCCATTACACTATTAATTTGTCATTCTTTTGTTTATATAGTCAATATCTCTATCTCAATTGGATCTATCTCAACTGCTTCTAAACAAGCCACCATAGTCTCTCCCATTTCAACAATCTCTTCCAAGTACCACTTCATTTCTTCTTTTCATATTTTTGAAAACTTTTGAAAAACTACCTATTTTCCTCCTCCATTTCTTGTTCATTCCATTCTAGTGGACATGGAATCTGTTCCTCCTCCAAAACGGAATTTGGTCACCCTTAAATTACTAAACCCAAAACAATATGTTGTCTTTATCTTTACCTCTCTGTGGCATTTAATGATAAGACCACTACTTTCTTCTCTTTTACCCTTCTTTCTTGAATTCAGTCAAACAACGTACTTACATTTTTTGTCTTATTCTCCATCTTAGAAACCACCTCAGCTTTCTCCATTCAGCTATAAAATTGTGCTTTTCCTCAAAGATTAATCTGCCTCTCCTCTCACTCTATACTATCTCTGTTAGCTAATTTTATTTGTGCACATTGCTTATACTGGGCATTATATACACATATGCATGTGTGTACATGTGCACACACACACTGTATGTGGACATGTATATATATATATGTGTGTGTGTATATATATAGTATATATATAAATTACAATAACATAAAGGTGGCATTTTAAATTAGTGGAAATTACCCTGATTTGATCACTACACATTCTATACATGTAAAGAAAATATCACTCTGTATCCCAAGAATATGTACAATTATGGTTTGTCAAATGAAAAAGTTCATACATTGAAAAATTTTAGATAAATATCAAACTTTCTCTGAAACTGTAACTGTAAAATGTAAAAAACAGTAATTGCTATATTGCTTATTTCTGAGTAGAAGAATATGAGACATTTCCCTAATCATTATGTGTAATTACAATTACATATATATATGTAATTGTAATTACACATAATGATTAGGGAAATGTCTCATATTCTATATATATAGACAGAAAGAGAGAAAATATATGAGGGAGAGAAGGAATCTTTCCATCTCCTTTGAGTTCCACGGTGTTGAGAGTCAGGACAACTGCAATTGCTTCATCATGCCTGCTTGCAATTATAGGGCTTTTGAACCATTTGTTCCCTCCTTAGATATCCTCATTTTTTTCAGATTCTTGCTTAGAAGTCACTCCTCCGTGGACCTCCTCTGACATATTAAACATTGCAGTCCATTATAAGCTGCAAGAGGACAGGGATTTTTGCCTGTTTTATTCCCTACTGTATCACCAGGGGCTACAGCAATATCTGACAAACAGTGGGCATGTAATGAATATTTGTTAAGTGAAGTAATAAATTCAATCAAATCACATCACCTGTTTAAAGCACTTCATTGGCTTCACATTGCACTTAGAATAAAGAGAAATTCTTTTTATACAATATAAGTTCCTGCAGAATGCAGACACTTTCTACTTCTCCAGCCTCTTTTCAACTCCTCTCCTACTAGCTTCTGTATTTAAGCCACATTAGACCTTTCTTCAGTTTTTTATATAGACTTTGTCGCATCACACCTCAGAGATTCTGTACATGTTCTTCCTCCTGCCTAGAAAGGATCGTCCCTCCACTTTCGCCAACTAATCCCTGCTCAACTTTTCATCTCAGCAGGAGGCCCATTCTCTTTGGCAATCCTCTGGCCTCCAGCCCATTTATTATATGCTCACATGTCAACATGTACTTCGTACAGCATGTAACACAATTGCACTTTTATATTTTAACAAATTATATTTCCCATATTGAACTGTAAGTCTCCTGAAAGCAGGAATTTTGTTCTTGCTCATCATCAACTTTTTCAACATCCAGTGCACCATTTAGAACTTAGATGTAGTCAATAGAGGTTTGTGGAATGAAAGAGGAAAAGAAAGAATTAATATTCCTTTAAATTAGGATGGCAAAGATCGTATATAGAAAATTGGCTAAGTTGTGGTCCATTCATGTTTGCTCCCAATTAAGGAGCACAGCTATGAAAAGGAAGGCTTCAAATTAATAACCAATAGATTTTTTTAAAAAGAAAACTGGCCAGGTACTGTGGCTTATGTCTGTAATATCAGCATGTTGGGAGGCCAAGGCAGGATTACTTGAGCCCAGAAATTCCAGACCAGCCTGAGAATTTGGCAAAACTCTGTCTCTACAAAAATTACAAAAATTAGCCAAGTTTGGTGGCATGTGCCTGTAGTACCAGCTACTTGGGAGGCTGAGGTGGAAGAATAGCTTGAGTCTGGGAGGTCAAGGTTGCAATGAGCTGTGATTGCACCACTGCACTCAAGCCTGGGTGGTAGAGTAAGACCCTGTCTCAAAAAAAAAAAAAAAAAAGAAAAATCACTAAGCAAAATAAGACATGTGAAGGATCATGTCAAAGGTAAGAAAAATTAGGGGAACATTAAAAGCTTTCTTCCCAAGCCACTAAATCAACTTGACTAACAAAATTACCACTTGATTTAGCATTAGAAAATTACATTACATATCAAACATAAACCCATTAATCAAATACTAAAGAAATTTCTGAGTTAAATGGTATAATGTTAGCTTATGCCAGAGCTGACCTTGAAAGATTGTTCAAATATGGCTCAGTGTGATTGAAAGTTCTGTGTGAATATGTTTTTGGAAAGATCCAACAGCAACACCTTAGTGTATGTTTTTGAAATAAAATGTATCTGAGTAGCAGCAAAGTTATTCTCAAATTTCCATTTTATAGCTGGAGATGTTATACCGTGACGTATATGATAGGACCCAATATGGATCAATCCCTTTTAGAAGTCAATCAGGAAGAGGGGAGCAGTTAAAACAGTTGCTTGGTTTACAAACATTAGAACAATTTTCTTATTCACACCATCTGATTATTGTATTTTATTTTTTCCCCAACGTTTAGACTACACAATGAGTTAAGAATGATAAAAATAAGCTCACCAATATACTATGTACATATTTACCAAAATCTGTGCATGCTTATACATATAAACACAGCTGATAATTTATTAGTTAGGCTCATTTGTAATTTTTGTCACTATAGACCAGTTTTTTATTTAAATTGAAGATTAGTATACATTTTAAATGATTAGTCAAAATAAAAAATCTAAAATGTGCTCTAAATACCTCTTAGGTCAGAAAAAAAAAGTCAAAAGCTAGAGTATAGAGAAATTAAGAAACGCCCTAAATTTCTAATCTGACAAAAATTCATACAAGATTTAAATATTTTAATGGAAAATAGAACAGAACTAATTATTGAAGAAATTATAGAAAGGAAACAAAATAAACAGATTATATGGAGGATTTTTAGAAGATAAGTAAATAAATTAATATACTAGGAAAAAACAAGGGAAATATACTTGATAAATAAATACAGGTAAGAGTTCTTTTGAAATAATGATAAAATAGAAAATCTCTGTCAAAACTAAAAGGAAAGATGCATAAATATATAAATAAATGATAAAAAATGTTGCATACATATATGACTTTTTCAGAATCAAAAAATTTAAATTTCTGTAATAAAATTTAAATGTTTATAAATTTAAAAAACTAGAAGAAAGAATGTTGACTGTTCACAATACAAATAAATGACAAATATTTGAGGTGATGGATATGCTAATTATCCTTATTTGATCATTGGGCATTGTATACATGTATCAAAATATCACTCTGTATCCCATGAATATGTACAATTATTTGTCTCAAAAACAAACAAAAAAAAGATAATGGGAGAATGTTGAAAACTCAGAGAGAAGAGCAACTCTCACAGATAGGGATCCAGATAACATTAGCAGCTGATTTCTCGGCAGAAACCTTGAAGGCCAGTAGGCAGTGGATTATATATTTAAAATAATGAAGAAACCTGTCAATTGAGAAATATATAGCTGGAAAACTTATCCTTCAAAAATGAAGGAGAAATTAAGACATTTCCGGATTTTTTTTTAAAACTGAAAAAAATCCATTTATCCCTGAATTTGACATTCAGGAAGTGTTAAGTCCTTCAGGTTGAAATAAATGAACTCTAGGCAATAACTATGTAAGTAAATAAGCAAGCTGTATGAATATACAAAGCTCTCTGGTAAAGGTAAATACATAAACAAACATAAAAACAGTCCTATTGTAATTTTGGTTTGTAACTCTGCTTTTTATTTTCTACATAATTTAAAAGGCAAATGCATAAAATGTAATTGTAAATCTGTTAGCTGGTATACAATGAATAAAGATATAATTTGTCACATCAATAACATAAAAAGAGTAGAGCTATATATATAGCAGTAGAATTTTGGTATGTGATTGAACTTAAGTTGAAATAAATTCAAATTAAAATGTTATAACTCTAGGATGTTATATGTAATTCTCATAGTAACCAAAAATGAAATATATATAGAATATAAACAAAAGGAAATGAGACTAGAAACAAAATGTGTCACTACAAAAAAATCAACTAAAGATAAAAAAGAAATAATTGAGAAAATGATTGGCAAAAATCAGTAACTCTGACGTATTAAAACTTTCCATGCTACATAAATCTGAAAACTCTATTTCACATAAAACTGGAGCTGAAAGAAACAAATATTTACCTATAAAGTTAAAAGTTATATAGGGAACAAACACTAATTTTTTTTTAGAAAAAATTATAAAAAGAGTAAAAATATGCCTTATACTACCGTAATTTCATGTTTTACAGCTCTGGGAAAATAGAAAATAAAATGTTCTGTTAGCATGAATCCCTCTGTGCCCCCAAAAAACCCTATGGATTGCATCATTATTACCTAAAAAGTCTATTCTCAAATGCAGCAGAGTGATATTTTTTACAAGGTAGATATTAATTTTAGATATGGAATAATATTGGTGATTTCAATTTTATAACACTGGGTTAAGATGAAAGAATGAGAAGATAAAGGTCCCTCAGCAATATAACTCACAAACATGTTCAGAAGCAGTAAGAAGTTACATTAATTATCTTTTGAAAGTCGATAATCTACATCTTTAATGTATGCATATAGCATAGCCAATGTACTATCGCTGGGTCCATTTATTCAATGAATAATTGCCGCTATGTGTCAGACATTTTTCTAGGCCTAGGAATGGATACATAAGTGAACAAAGCAAAGATTCTGGTTCTTGTAGAGTTTCCATTAAAAGACAATTTAGTAAAACTTTTCTTCCCCCAAATTATAAAATCTGTAAGATGATTTAACAACATGTGTAAAAGTCATTGTGGGCCAGGCACGGTGGCTCATACCAGGTGTGGTGACTCATAGCACTCTGTCACCCAGGCTGGAGTGCAGTGGCACAATCTCTGCTCACTGCAACCTCTGCCTCCTGGGTACAAGCGATTCTCCTGCCTCAGCTTTCTGAGTAGCAAGGACTACAGGTGCACACCATCACGCCTGGCTAATTTTTGTACTATTAGTACAGACGGAGTTTCACCATGTTGGCCAGGCTGGTCTCAAACTCCTGACCTCAAATGATCCGCCCACCTCGGCCTCCCAAAGTGCTGGAATTACAGATGTGAGCCACAATGCCCGGCCTTATTTTCTACAACTTTGGTAACTTTAGCATATACCCCAAATCTGTAAGACATAATATTATAATTCAAATGCAATGCATGGCTTCTCTTTGTACTCTTTCTCTAGCTTTTGAATTATTTATTCTAATACCAGTTTTAATTCTGACACAAAATCATGGGAGTTCTAATCAAAATCCAACCTTTTATCATAAAAACTATGAAGAAATTATGAGTAGAATTTAAAAAGGAAAATAGGCCTATTAATTAGATTTGTCTTTGTAGCATTTAACTCTATAATAAATAATATTTTATGCCTATGAGTCCCCAACAAAGCCTCCAGCTTCTATTTAGATATAAACTGTAAAAGTCACTACTGGATCCACAAGCAAGACTATGGTAAATAAATTTCTCCACCTAACCAGCTTCTTTTACATGATGTTACATGTTTCTTTTGTTTTTTCATTTTGGCAAATATTGATTGTCATCTTCGTGTTTGTCTATGTCCTAAGTGCTGGGATACAGAATCTGAAAAGATGGACACAGGACCTGCCTTCAAGTTCACCCCCTTTTTTTTTTTTTTTTGAGATGCAGTTTTGCTCTTGTCACCCAGGCTGGAGTGTAATGGTGAGATCTCTGCTCACTGCAACCTCCACCTCCAGGGTTCAAGTGATTCTCCTGCCTCAGCCTCCCAAGTAGCTGGGATTACAGGTCCCAGCCACCACGCCTAGCTAATTTTTGTATTTTTAGTAGAGACAGCGTTTCATCATGTTGGTCAGGCTGGTCTCGAACTCCTAACCTCAGGTAGTCGACCCACCTCGGCCTCCCACAGTGCTGAGATTACAGGCATGAGCCACCACGCCCTGCTAGGAGTTCACGCTTTAGTTGGGGAAAATATACAATAAGCAAGCCAGTTTTTAAAATGAGAACTGCAATTAGAGTTAAATGCTACAAAGACAAACTCACAGGAAGATGGGATGTAGAATGATAAGGCTCTCAGAATAGTAAGAGAAACTATTGCTTCTTACGATGTTTGTCTTTCTTTGTATCGGTGCTCAGCTGAGTCTGCAGTGCTTCAGAGGCAGCTTTCATTTTATAAAAATCTATGATTTCTCCTTCCAGTTGTTTTTTCTCTTCCTCGAGCTTCCTTATCTCCTCCTGTTGAATCATTTTAAGATGCTCGAACTTGTCCTGCAGCTGTGAAACCAATGTGCAGTTGTGACACCAAAGCAGTGTGGCTGAACACCTAAAAGAATACGCTTTTTTTCTGATTATCAAACAAACCCAAATCATCACAGTAGAGCACGATCTTAATAACAATCTCAAAAACTCAGGAGTAAACACTCAGATATGGAATTTTTCTTTTCTTTCTTTTTTCCTTTTATAAGATGGAGTCTCACTCTGTTGCCCAGGCTGGAGTGCACTGGTGCGATCTCAGCTCACTGCAACCTCCATCTCCCAGTTCAAGTGATTCTCCTGCCTCAGCCTCTTGAGTAGCTGGGACTATAGGCATGCATCACCACTACAGGCGTGTGCCACCACACCTGGCTAATTTTTGTATTTTTAGTAGAGATGGGGTTTTGCCATGATGGCCAGGCTGGTCTCGAACTCCTGACCTCAGGTGATCCTCCCGCTTTGGCCTCCCAAAGACTTTTTTTTTTTTTTAATATAGAGACAAGTTCTCAGTACGTTGCCCAGGATGGTCTCAAACTCCTGAGCTCAAGTGATCCTCCCACCTCAGCTTCCCAAAGTGCTGGGACTGACTGGATGCAGTGGCTCATGCTTGTAAACTCAGCACTTTGGGAGGCCAAGGTGGGAGGATCGCTTGAGCCCAGGAGTTCAAGACCAGACTGGGTGATATAACACAATAGTCAACTTCAACAGGAGAGAGAATCTGTAAACTTGAATATAGATCTTCCGAAATTATCCAGTCAGAGGACAGAGAAAAAAAGAATAAAAGAGAGAAAAGAAGGCTGGGTGTGGTGGCTCAAGCCTGTAATCCCAACACTTTGGGAGGCCGAGGCAGGCAGATTAAGAGGTCAGGAGTTCAAGACCAGCCTGTCCAACATGACAAAGCCCCATCTCTACTAAAAATACAAAAATTAGCCGGGTGTGGTGGCACACACCTGTAGTCCCAGCTACTTGGGAGGCTGAGGCAGGAGAATCACTTGAACCCAGGAGGCGGAGGTTGGAGTGCAATGTGAGCCGAGACCACACATTACACTCCAGCCTGGGTGACAGAGCATGACTCTGTCTCAAAAAGAAAAAAAAAAGAGACAGAGAAAAGAAAGCCAACAAGACACCATTAAGCAAACCATTGTCAGGTTATGGGAGTTTGAGAAGGAAAGTAGAGAAAGGAGAATAAAGCTTATTTAAAGAATGGCTGACAACTGCCTAAATCATGGGAAAGATTTAGACATCTAAATCCATGAAGCTTAAAGATTCCTAAAGAGGTTCAAACCAAATAGATACTCACCAAGTCACAATATAATCAAATAGTCAAAAGTTAAAGAAACTTTGCAGGTCAGGACAGAATCGAATAATACATTCAAAGTGCTGAAAGAAAAAAACTGCCAGCAACTAATACTATGTCTGACAAAGCTGTCCTTCAGAAAGGAAAAAGAAATAATGTGTTTCCTCGACAAACAAAGCTGAGGGCATTCAGGACCACTAGGTCTACCTTAAAAAAATGCTTAACGGAGTTTTTCAAGTAAAAATGAATGAAGTTGGGAGCGGTGGCTCATGCCTGTAATCCCATTTTGGGAGGCTGAGGTGGGTGGATCACCTGAGGTCGGGAGGTCAAGACCAGCCTGGCCAACATGGCAAAACCCCACCTCCAGTAAAAATACAAAAAATTAGCCAGGTATGAAGGCCACTGAGATCGTGCCACTGCACTCCAGCCTGGGTGACAAGAGTCAAACTACATTTCAAAAACAAAAAACAAAACAAACAAAAAAAACAAAACTTGAGGCCTGGCCTTCTGCTCCTCTCCAACCTCCCCTTCTCTGGGCCCAAGCCACCTTGGCTGAGGAGGGGGCGAGGAGGTGTGAGCCCCTGCCAGGAACCCCCTGCCCGGACCAAGTGCTCGGCCCCCAGGCCTGCGTTCAGTGAGGCCTCCCGTGGCGTCAGCATGTTCGTGTGGAGGAATGTGGAAGGTCACTCTGCGGCCGTGTTCTCCTGGTACTCCATCCCCTTCCTGACCCCTCCCTGCAGCCACACGAGGCCCAGCAACCTGCCAGTCACTCAGTGGCCTCCAACCAGAGAAAACAACCTGCCAAGTTGGCAGCCGTTGCTCATGAGCGTCCACCAGGTGGGACAGGGAGTGTTGACCCTGGGCAGCCCCCTGGAGCCACCTGCCCTGAAAGCCCAGGGCCCGCAACCCCACACACTTTGGGGGTGGTGGAACCTGGTAAAAGCTCACCTCCCACCATGGAGGAGGAGCCCTGGGCCCCTCAGGGGAGTCCCTGCTGGACAGTGAGACAGAGAATGACCATGATGATGCTTTCCTCTCCATCATGTCTCCTGACACCCAGTTGCCTCTACCACTCAGATGATGTCAGGCCCAGTCCCTCAGTGCCCTGCGCAAGGAACAGGACTCATCTTCTGAGAAGGATGGACGCAGCCCCAACAAATCAGACAAGGACCACATCCGGTGGCCCATGAGTGGCGCTCATGATCTTCAGCAGGCGGCACCAGGCCCTGGCGGGGCGCACCAGGGTCATCCCAACCAGGATAACCGGACCGTCAGCCAGATGCTGAGCGAGCGGTGGTACACCCTGGGGCCCAATGAGATGCAGAAATACAACCTGGCCTTCCAGGTGAAGGTGGCCCACTTGCAACAAGGACCGAAAGAAGTCCAGCTCAGAGGCCAAGCCCACAAGCCAGGGGCTAGCAGGAGTGTAACAAGGGCTCGTGGGAGCGGAGCATATCAGAGACGGGCACTGCCACTGCCCCTGGGGTGTCCTCTGAACTCCTGTCAGTTGCAGCCCAAACACTCCAGAGCTCGGATACCAAGGAGCAGCTTCTGTGGGGCAGAACGGCTGCACACAGTCAGGGAACCTGGCTCAGCCTGGCCCAAGCCTTCTCCCACAGCGGGGTACACAGCCTGGACGGCAGGGAAATAGACCGTCAGGCACTACGGGAACTGACACAGGTGGTGTCTGGCACTGCATCATACTCTGGCCCAAAGCCTTCTACTCAGCATGGAGCTCCAGGCCACTTTGCAGCCCCTGGTGAGGGAGGTGACCCGTGGGCAGCCCTGCTGCCGCCCACGTGAGCTGCTCATTCCCAGCACATGGCCAGCGAGGTCATAGCGAGTGACGAAGAGCACACGGTCATCCATGAGGAGGAGGGGGTGATGATGTCATTGCTGATGATGGCTTTAGCACCACCGACACCGATCTCAAGTTCAAGGAGTGGGTGACCGACTGAGAGTGGGGACAACTCTGGGGAGGAGCCAGAGGGCAACAAGGGCTTTGGTGGGAAGGTATTTGCACCTGTCATTCCTTCCTCCTTTACTCCTGCCGCCCCTTGCTGGATCCTGAGCCCCCAGGGTCCCCCGATCCACCTGCAGCTTTTGGCAGTCTATGGTCACACCCTGTCCTCCTCCTACACATACTCGGATGCTTCCTCCTCAACCTTGGCACCCACCTCCTTCTTACTGGGCCCAGGAGCCTTCAAAGCCCAGGAGTCTGGTCAACGCAGCAGAGCGGGCCCCCTACGGCCCCAACCCCTGGGGATGGGGGCCCAGGGACGCCTTCCAAGGTGGCCTGTTTCCTCCCAATGGATCCTGCCACCTTCTGGTGCAAGAGACCTGAAAGTGTGGGCGACCTGGAGCTACCAGGCTCCTCAGTCATCAGGGTCCCTCCCAATACTAAGGCTTTCCTAGGCAGGAGCTGGGCTGAGCCACCCGGGGGGCAGAGCCTGAAGAGAAACTGACTGGGCTTTCGGGGTCGGGGCAGAGGGAACCCCACGGACATGGATCCCACACTGGAGGACCCCACCGCGCCCAAATGCAAGATGAGAAGATGCTCCAGCTGCAGTCCAAAGCCCAACACCCCCAAGTGTGCCACGTGTGATGGGGACAGCTTCCCCTTTGCCTGTACAGGTGGAGAAGCCGAGGACAGGCTCAGGGAACCGGAGACCGAGAAGGCGCTGTCCTCTTCACTGCACGTACCCTGGACCAGTGCCGGCCCTGATCATGCAGCTCTTCCAGGCCCACTGCTTCTTCCTGTCCACTAGGCCACAGCCGCCCTCCAGGCCCACTATGCACACATCTTCCCCTCCAAGGTTTGTTCTGCCCCTGCCCTGACTCCCAGCCCTGTGGGGGTCCTGACCGCACCTCACCTGGCTCAGACTCTTGACGCTGCCCTGGCTGCCCCACCACTGCTTCTGCCCGAGAGTCACGTGAGGCTGAGAGTAGGGGCAGGGGCAGCAGTGGTGCCAGTTGGGGGGCGGTCCAGTGGGAGGAGCCTCAGCCTCGCAGGCTGCTCCGTGGGACTGATGACTGCATGATCTTCTGGGCACCTCACGGATCTTCAACTGCAGGTGAAACGGATGCTGGTGGTGGGTGCAGGGCCGCTGGGAGCTGCTGCATGGTTCCCAGAGGCTGGACTGAGGCAGGTGCCAACTGAAGCTGCTGGGGCAGCATGGGCAGGATGTTCTGCACACAAACCTTGGAGAAGAAGATGTGTGCATAGCAGGTCCACTGCTGCTGCCCCTGCCCTGACTCCCAGCCCTGCCTGACCCCACCTCAACCTGCTCAGGCTCTGGCACAACCCTGGCTGCCCTGCCACTGCCTCTGCCCCAGAGTTGGGGCCTTGACAGCCTGGTTGGAAGGGGACACCCCAGCCCTGCCTCAACACCTGGGGGTCTCCATAACTAGCACAGGCAGGTGGGCAACCCCAAAGATCCCAGGACTCACAGTACCCCCTGAGAACATGGACAGTATGTGGGGGTAGCAATGGAGGGCAGGATGGTTATCTTCTCCCAGGTGAAGCCATTTAATCCTTTCAGTTTGGGACGGAGTAAGGCCTTCCTCTTTTTTTTTTTTTTTTTTTTTTTTTTTTTTTTTGAGACCGAGTCTTGCTCTGTCGCCCAGGCTGGAGTGCAGTGGTGCGATCTTGGCTCACTGCAACCTCTTCCCGCCGGGTTCACGCCATTCTCCTGCCTCAGCCTTCCGGGTAGCTAGGATTACAGGTAGACGCTACCACGTCCGGCTAATTTTTGTATTTTTAGTACAGACGGGGCTTCATCATCTTGGCCAGGCTGATTTCGATCTCCTGACATTGTGATCTGCCTGCCTCCCCCTCCCAAAGTGCTGGGATTACAGGCGTGAGCCACCACGCCTGGCCAAGGCCTGCTCCTCTTATCTATACCCCCTACCCCTGCAGCTGTGCCGGGGGAAAGCTGGGCAGTTTCCCTCCTCCGAGCCCCTGTACATACCATGAATTGTGGGACCTTCAGAGCTTTTCACTTTTCGGAAAATAGCTCCTGCTGGGGCTACAAGATGGAGTGTGAAGAGGGCCTTGGGCCACAGGGAGGCGCCTGTGGACTAGGGGGAGTTCATGCACCCCTTCTTTCCCCAGAGGGGCTGGACTCAGGTGAGTATGGGGGTGGGGGCTCCTGCACTTCGACACAGGCAGCGGGAGGGTTTTCTCCCCATTCCCTCTGCACTCCCAACTTGAGCTATACTTTTTAAGAAAGTGATTCACCCTGCCTTTGCCCCCTTCCCCAGAACAGAACACGTTGATCGTGGGCGACATTTTTCATTGTGCCAAAAAGTTGCCATGACCGTCATTAAACCTGTTTAACACCAAATAATAAGGAAAATAAAATAAAAAACTCGGGCTTGACGCAGAAACTCACTCCAAATAAATTACCTACCAAAACATTTACATAATGGTGGAAATATTCCAAAATTCAATATTTTGGGATTTATACACAAAAGATAAACAAATTAGAGGCCAAGAGGCTGCCGGAAGGGAAAAACGGGGCCTGGAATGGCCGACGTGAGGAATGAGCTGGGCCTAAAGAGGCCACTGGCAGGCAGGAGCTGGACCTGCCGAAGTGGCCGAAAGGCAGGAGCTTTGGACTGGGGAGGCCGCAGTGAGGCGAGAGCTAGCTGGGCGTGGAGAGTCCGCTGTGAGGCCGAGGCCGAGGCCGGGCCCGTGCAGGCCTTCGAGAGGCAGGAGGCCGGGCCTGCAAAGGCCGACTGGAGATCAAGTTCTGCGCCTGAAGAGGCTGCCAAAAGTCAAAAGCAGGGCCTGCGAAGGCCGCCGAGAGCCATGAGCTGGGCTGGGCTGAAAGAGGCCACTGGGAGGCAGGAGGAGCTGGGCCTGGAGAGGCTGACTCGAGGAAGTTTTGCACCTGGAGAGGCCGTCGAGAGGACGGAGCTGGGCCCAGGGAGGCCGACTTGCTGCTCTTCCAGGCCCACTTCCAGGCCGACTTGAGGACGACTTGGGCCTGCAGAGGCCGCCGGGAGGCTGGAGCTAAGCCTGGAGAGACTGACTTCGGGACGATTTGGGCCTGCGGAGGCCGCCGGGAGGCCCAAGCTGGGCCTAGAGGAGCCCACCGACCGGAGGCCATTTGGGGCCTGCAGATGTCATCGGAGGGCCAGGAGCTGAGCCTGGAGAGGCCACCGCGAGGCCTGAGCTGGGCCTGGGGAGCTTGGCTTAGGGAAGTTGTGGGCCTACCAGGGCCGCTGGGAGCTGGGCAGGAGCTGAGTCCAAAGACGTTGTTGGGACCTGGAGTCGGGCCAGAGTCCGGCCTGGAGATGCAGCCGGGAGGAAGAGCTGGGCCCGGAGGGGGCGCCGGGAGGCTGCAAGTGGGTCTGAGAGGCCAACTTGAGGAGGCCTGGCTCTGCCTCCCGCATTGCCCAGCTGTTCCTCCTGGCTGCATCTCCCACCTCCCAGCAAACAAGCTCTTTTGGCTCAGCTCCCGCCTGCGTTTGTAGACCCCGAAGTTTCTGCAACCAAGCTCTTCAGACCCACATCCCTTCTCCCAGTGACTGAACAGTCCCAGCTCCGGCTGGAGAAGGGCGTCTGCAGACCCCGCTGTTGCCTCCCAGGGGAGTCTCCAGGCCCAGCTCTCGCCCCACCGCGACCTCCCAGGCCCAAGTCCCTGCCTACCTCCCAGCAGCCCGAGTGCGATCCTGTTCCTCCCTCACGGTGGCCTGTTGAGGCAGGGGGTCACGCTGACCTCTGTCCGCGTGGGAGGGGCCGGTGTGAGGCAAGGGCTCACACTGACCTCTCTCAGCGTGGGAGGGGCCGGTGTGAGGCAAGGGGCTCACGCTGACCTCTGTCCGCGTGGGAGGGGCCGGTGTGAGGCAAGGGCTCACACTGACCTCTCTCAGCGTGGGAGGGGCCGGGGTGAGGCAAGGGGCTCACGCTGACCTCTGTCCGCGTGGGAGGGGCCGGTGTGAGGCAAGGGCTCACACTGACCTCTCTCAGCGTGGGAGGGGCCGGGGTGAGGCAAGGGGCTCACGCTGACCTCTGTCCGCGTGGGAGGGGCCGGTGTGAGGCAAGGGCTCACACCGACCTCTCTCAGCGTGGGAGGGGCCGGTGTGAGGCAAGGGGCTCACGCTGACCTCTGTCCGCGTGGGAGGGGCCGGTGTGAGGCAAGGGCTCACACTGACCTCTCTCAGCGTGGGAGGGGCCGGTGTGAGGCAAGGGGCTCACGCTGACCTCTGTCCGCGTGGGAGGGGCCGGTGTGAGACAAGGGGCTCACACCTCTCTCAGCGTGGGAGGGGCCGGTGTGAGGCAAGGGGCTCGGGCTGACCTCTCTCAGCGTGGGAGGGGCCGGTGTGAGACAAGGGGCTCACGCTGACCTCTCTCAGCGTGGGAGGGGCCGGTGTGAGGCAAGGGGCTCGGGCTGACCTCTCTCAGCGTGGGAGGGGCCGGTGTGAGGCAAGGGGCTCACGCTGACCTCTGTCCGCGTGGGAGGGGCCGGTGTGAGGCAAGGGCTCACACTGACCTCTCTCAGCGTGGGAGGGGCCGGTGTGAGGCAAGGGGCTCACGCTGACCTCTGTCCGCGTGGGAGGGGCCGGTGTGAGGCAAGGGCTCACACTGACCTCTCTCAGCGTGGGAGGGGCCGGTGTGAGGCAAGGAGCTCGGGCTGACCTCTGTCCGCGTGGGAGGGGCCGGTGTGAGGCAAGGGGCTTGGGCTGACCTCTCTCAGCGTGGGAGGGGCCGGTGTGAGACAAGGGGCACGCTGACCTCTCTCAGCATGGGAGGGGCCGGTGTGAGACAAGGGGCTCGGGCTGACCTCTGTCCGCGTGGGAGGGGCCGGTGTGAGGCAAGGGGCTCACGCTGACCTCTGTCCGCGTGGGAGGGGCCGGTGTGAGGCAAGGGCTCACACTGACCTCTCTCAGCGTGGGAGGGGCCGGTGTGAGACAAGGGGCTCACGCTGACCTCTGTCCACGTGGGAGGGGCCGGGGTGAGGCAAGGGCTCACACTGACCTCTCTCAGCGTGGGAGGGGCCGGTGTGAGGCAAGGGGCTCACGCTGACCTCTGTCCGCGTGGGAGGGGCCGGTGTGAGGCAAGGGCTCACACTGACCTCTCTCAGCGTGGGAGGGGCCGGTGTGAGGCAAGGGGCTCACGCTGACCTCTCTCAAGCGTGGGAGGAGCCGGTGTGAGGCAAGGGCTCACACTGACCTCTCTCAGCGTGGAGTAGCCAGTGTGAGGCAGCGTCACGCTCTGTGCAGGGTCCAGAGGCATGAGTTGGCATCAACAGGCCACCGTGAGGGAGGAGCTGGGCGCACGCGGGCTGCTGGGAGGCAGGCAGGGACTTGCCCCGGGAGGCCGCCGTGGGTGCAAGAGCTTGGCCTGGAGAGGCCCCTGGGAGGCAAGGCGGGGCCTGCAGAGGCTGTTCTCCAACCAGTGCTAGAACTGTACAGGCCACCAGGAGGCAGGAGGTGGGCCCTCAGAGCTTGGCTGGAGAAAGTTCGGGGCCTACAAAGGCGGTTGGGAGCTGGGCAGGAGTTGAGCCAAAAGAGCTTGCTTACTTGCTGGGAGGCAGGGCCGGGAGAGCCCGACTTCAGGACAACTTGGGCCTGCGGCAGTCGCCGGGAGGCCCAACCTTGGCGTGGAGGAGCCCACCGACCGGAGACCATTTGGGGCCTGGAGATGCCATCGGAGGGCAGGAGCTCATCCTGGAGAGGCCACCGTGAGGCCTGACCTGGGCCTGGGGAGCTTGGCTTGAGGAAGCTGTGGGCCGACCAAGGCCGCCAGGAGATGGGTAGGCACTGAGTCCAAAGAGGTTGTTGAGAGGCAGGAATCGGGCCTGGAGACCCAACCAGGAAGAAGAGCTGGGCCCGGAGAGAACGCCCGGAGGGTGCAAGTGGGTCTGGAGAGGCTGACTTGAGGAGGTTCTGGGCCCGGAGAGGCCGCCGGAAGGGAAAAACTGGGCCTGGAAAGGCCGTTGTCAGGAATGAGCCCCATGGGCCTGAAGAGGCCACTGGCAGGCGGGAGCTGGGTGTGTAGAAGCTGCTGAAAGGTTGGGAGCTTGGCTTGGGGGGTCCACAGTGAGGTAGATGCTGGGCGTGAAGAATCTGCTGTGAGGCAGACGTTGGGACTGTAGAGGCTGACGGGAGGCAGAGGCTGGGCCTGGAGGGGCCACCAAGATGCAGGAGCTGGGCCTGGAGAGGCTGCAAAGAAGCATGAGCTGGGCCTGGTGAGGTCGACTTGAGAAAGTTCAGGGCCTGGAGAGAAGGCTGGGAGGCAGGAGCTGGGTCTAAAGAGGCCATTGTAACGATGGAGCTGTGCCTGTGGAGGCTGTTGTGAGGCAGTAGCCTCATCTGCGGAGGCTGCCGTGACGTAGGGTATGGGCCTAAATAGGCCATTGTGAGTCATGAGCTTGGTCTGTAGAGGCTGACTGGAGAAAGTTCTGGGCCTGGAGAGGCTGCCGGGAGGTAGGAGCTGGGCCAAAAGATGTAAGCACATTTGCATTTATTAGGCACTTTATTTCCATTATTACACTGTAATATATAATAAAATAATTATAGAACTCACCATAATGTAGAATTAGTGGGCGTGTCAAGCTTGTTTTCCTGCAACTGGATGGTCCCACCTGAGCGTGATGGGAGAAAGTGACAGATCAATAGGTATTAGACTCTCATAAGGACAGCGCAACCTCGATCCCTCACATGCACGGTTCACAACAGGGTGCGTTCTCCTATGAGCATCTAATGCTGCTGCTCATCTGAGAAGGTGGAGCTCAGGCGGGAATGTGAGCAAAGGGGAGTGGCTGTAAATACAGACGAAGCTTCCCTCACTCCCTCACTCGACACCGCTCACCTCCTGCTGTGTGGCTCCTTGCGGCTCCATGGCTCAGGGGTTGGGGACCCCTGCTCAAGTGCATCCAAAGCGACCCTTCCCACACCAGTCTTCACAGTGGTCAAGGGCAGCAACCACTTAGCTCCCAAGGCATGTGCCTCAGCTGGCATTTCGTCACAATCAACAGTAAGTGGTAGCTTGAGTCACTGTGAGGTCACCTACTGGAAATCACCAGCATCCCATTTCCCACTGGCAAAGAGCTCAGCACTGCCCCCTGGGAAACCAAACCTATGCCCAAATCCCATCTGTGTGGGTTTACCTCCTGGGACCCTTCCTAACATATTAGTCAGAGTCCAATCAGGAAGCATAAACCACTCAAAAGTTTAAAGTGGTAAAATTTAATACAGAGAATTATTCATTATAACAGGTGAACAGCATAATGAGAGATTGGCTAGCACAGAGTAAAGATAACTCTAGAGAATATGGGACTAGCCCAGGCCAGGCATGGTGGCTCATGCCTGAAATTCCAGCCATTACAGAAGCTAATGCAGGAGGATTGCTTAAGGCCAGGAGCTAGAGACCGCTCTGGACGACACAGTGAGACCCTGTCTCTATCCAAAAGAAGAAAAAAGTTAGCTGGGGGTGGTGGTGCACACTTGTAGTCCCAGCTACTCGGAATGCTGAAGTTTGAGCCTGGGAGGTCAAGGCTGCAGTGAGGCATGATTATGCCACTACAGTCCAGCCGGATGACAGAGCAAGACCCTGTCTCAAAGAACAAAACCACAACAACCATTTACAGACAGAAAAGAAATAGAGCTAATAAGCTGAGGAAAGATGTTGAAATGTGACAAGTAAAGTAATATGAGGTCTTTTGTCTATTTAAAATAATCAAACAAAAAATGGCTTACTAAATTATAATACCCTGTGCTGGCAAAGGTGCAGTGAAATGGGCACTTTCTTATACTATGAGGGGTGGTTAAATTGTGTATAAGCCTTCCAGGGTAAAGCCTGTCAATTTTTTAAAATAATGGAGACAGGGTCTCACCATACTGCCATACTGCCTCCTCCAACTCTTGGCCTCAAGCAATCCTCCTCTCTTAGCCTCCCAAAGTGCTAAGATTATAGCTGGGAGGCACCCAAAACCCTGTCAATTTACATCAAGGGTAAGGAGAATGTCCATTCACCATGACTCACAGTAATCTTACTTCTGGGGAGACAATTCAATCTAAGCAAAAGGTCATCTGTACACACACAGTAAAAATCTGGGAGTAACTGAAGACAGAGTTGGTAAGTGAAATAAGAAACAGTTATAAGAAATTAAACTATGGTATCAATAGGCACCTGGTAAAAGGTCAGTTGATGTTAGCTGCTACTTTTTTGTTGTTTTGAGACAGGGTCTCACTCTGTCACCCAGGCTGGAGTGCAGAGGCCTGATCATGACTCACTGCGGTCTCAGCCTCCCTGGGCTCAAGTGATCCTCCCACCTCAGCCTCCCAAGTAGCTGGGACTACAGGAACATGCCACCACACTAGGCTAATTCATGTATTTTTCTGTAGGGATGGTGACTCCCCCTTTGTTTCCAAGGCCTATCGCAAACTCTTGGCCTCAAGCCATCCTCCTGCCTCAGCCTCCCAAAGTGTTGCGATTACCAGTGTGAGCCACCACACCTGGCCAGCTGCTACTTTTATCAATATTATTCTTATTCCACTCAATTAAAAATTATTATTTTCAAGGCTATGCAACAGTATGTATCCTACAGCGTAATTGTAAAAACATACACAGTCGTCATCCCTCAGTATACAGAATTAGTTCCAGCCCCCCATCTCTGCATATACCAAAATCCATGCTTACTCACGTTTCGCTGTCACCCCTCTAGAATCCACGTATACGAAAATTCCAAATGTTAGTTGGGCATAGTGGCAAGCACCTGTAGTCTCAGCCACGTGGGAGGTTGAGGTGGGAGGATCGCTTCAGCCTGGAAGGTTGAGGCTGCAGTCAGCTGCGATAGCACTACTACACTCCAGCCTTGGACAACAGAGGGAGACCCTGTCTCAGAAAAAAATAAATAAATAAATAAAGCAGGTTAGAAACTGTGATGAGGTCTGCTGGGCAAAATTCCATATAAGCAAAGTATAAATTAATAAAGCAAATCGTGATAAATTAGTACGATTGACTTTCTGGAGTTTCTGACAATAAAAGTAAGGAAAATGCAGAACACAAAGACAGAGAGTAAAAAGAGAAATTAGGAAAGCATTCTACATGTTGAATAGGAAGACACTGGCCATGTTCGTGCAGCGGCAGTATGTCGTGACATGACATACCTTGGAGAGAAGTTAACAGATGAGGAAGTTGATAAAAATCATCAGAGAAGCAAAATACTGGTAGCGACACTCAAGTAAACCATGAAATTTCCATAACTTATGTCAGCAAAGTGGGAATATTGTACAGTGTGTGTTGAAGTTCCTATACAACATTGTTTATCTGCCTTTTGTTTGTTTGTAAGGAATGTATATACTAAAAGTTCTTCTTGCTGTCAAAAGAATATGCGTGAATAAGTCATTTTAACTTATTCTTCTGTTTTTCTTTTATCTTCCTGCCATCATCCCACAGCCTTACTTTAGAAATTTCTTTTTTAGAAAATTGAACAAGTGCTCCTTGTGGTGGCACATACCTCGAGGATGGGAGGCAGGGGTGGAAGGGTCACTTGAGGCCATTAGTTTGACACCAGCCTGGCCAAAAAAGTGAGACCCCGTGTCTACAAAACAATTTAAAAATTAGCCAAGTATCGTCATGTATACCTACAGTCCCAGCTACCTGAACTTACTGAGAAAGTTCAGGGCCTGGAGAGAAGGCTGGGAGGCAGGAGCTGGGTCTAAAGAGGCCATTGTAACGATGGAGCTGTGCCTGTGGAGGCTGTTGTGAGGCAGTAGCCTCATCTGCGGAGGCTGCCGTGACGTAGGGTATGGGCCTAAATAGGCCATTGAGAGTCATGAGCTTGGTCTGTAGAGGCTGACTGGAGAAAGTTCTGGGCCTGGAGAGGCTGCCGGGAGGTAGGAGCTGGGCCAAAAGATGTAAGCACATTTGCATTTATTAGGCACTTTATTTCCATTATTACACTGTAATATATAATAAAATAATTATAGAACTCACCATAATGTAGAATCAGTGGGCGTGTTAAGCTTGTTTTCCTGCAACTGGATGTTCCCACCTGAGCGTGATGGGAGAAAGTGACAGATCAATAGGTATTAGACTCTCATAAGGACAGCGCAACCCAGATCCCTCACATGCACAGTTCACAACAGGGTGCGTTCTCCTATGAGCATCTAATGCTGCTGCTCATCTGAGAAGGTGGAGCTCAGGCGGGAATGTGAGCAAAGGGGAGTGGCTGTAAATACAGACGAAGCTTCCCTCACTCCCTCACTCGACACCGCTCACCTCCTGCTGTGTGGCTCCTTGCGGCTCCATGGCTCAGGGGTTGGGGACCCCTGCTCAAGTGCATCCAAAACGACCCTTCCCACACCAGTCTTCACAGTGGTCAAGGGCAGCAACCACTTAGCTCCCAAGGCATGTGCCTCAGCTGGCATTTCGTCACAATCAACAGTAAGTGGTAGCTTGAGTCACTGTGAGGTCACCTACTGGAAATCACCAGCATCCCATTTCCCACTGGCAAAGAGCTCAGCACTGCCCCCTGGGAAACCAAACCTATGCCCAAATCCCATCTGTGTGGGTTTACCTCCTGGGACCCTTCCTAACATATAACCTTCATAACATACTTGAGAGGCTGAGGTGAGACAATCGATTTAGCCCAGGAGTTTGAGATCAGCCTGGACGACATAACTAAATCTCATCTCTACAAGGACGAGGTGGGAGGATCACTTGAGCCCAGGAATTTGTGGCCAGCCTGGGCAACAAAAGAAGACCCCATCTGGCCAACATGGCCAACCTGGCCACCACGGTGAAACTCTGACTCTACAAAAATGATCTGGGCATGGGTGACATGCGTGTGTAGTCCTAGCTACTTGGGAGGTTGAGATGGGAGGATTGCTTGATCTCAGAAGGCCAAAGCTATAGTGAGCTATGATCACATCACTGCACTCCAGCCTGGATGGCACAGGAAGATTCTGTCTCAAAAAAAAGAAAAGAAATATATATTTAATCTCTGTCCCTGGTTCCTGGCACAGAGCTTCTAAAGCTCTTACAAAGACCTCAGTGATAGATGTGACAGGAGCATCTTTTGTTTTAATATTTGGTCTTGGTCCCAGGTTTCTAACACAAGAGCCTCTAAGAACTTTGGGATCTCCAGCATGGTAAGAATGCATTTGGGGATGTTGTTGAGATGACTGGGTGACTGCAAGCTCCTAAATTTCTTCAAGAGGAGGGCTGATTACCATGCAACCACATGGTAAGAGGCTTGGAACTTTCAGCCTCATGCACTGAACTCCAGGGGGAAGAGGGGCTGGAGACTGACTTAATCACCAACAGCCAAAGGTTTTATCAATCATGCTTGCATAATAAAGCCTCCATAAACACCCTGAAAGGGGTTTGCAGAGCTTTCAGGGTTGCTGGACACAGGAGATGCTGGGAGGGTCGCATGTTCAACAGAGGGCATGGGAGCTCTGTGCCCCTCCGAACTTAACTTGCCCTGGGTATCTTTCTTTTTTTTGAGACAGGATCAGGCTCTTTTGTCCAAGCTGGAGTGCAGTGGCACAATCTCAGCTTACTGTAACCTAAGCCTCCCCAGTCCCCAGCTCAAGGTATCCTCTCATCTCAGCTTCCCTAGTAGTTGGAACTCTAGGTGCACAACACCACACCAGTTATTATTATTATTTTTTAATTTTTTATAGAGACAGGTTTTCACCATGTTGCCCAGGCTGGTCTCAAACTCCTGAGTTTAAGCGATCCTCCCACCTTGGCCTCCCAAAGTGCTGAGATTACAGGCATGAGCCACTGCATCCAGCATGCACGTCTCTTTCATTGACTGTTTCTGAGATGTATCCTTCACAATGAACCAGTAATAGGAAATGAACTGGCCAGATGTGGTGGCTCACATCTGTAATCCCAGCACTTTCAGAGGCTGAGGTGGGAGGATCACTTGAGACCAGGAATTTGTGGCCAGCCTGGCCAACACAACAAGACCCCATCTATACAAAAAATAAAAGAAACTAGCCAGATGTGGTGGTGCAGGCATGTAGTCTCAGCTACTAGGGAGGCTGAGGTGGGAGAACCACTGGAACCCAGACAATCAAGGCTGCAATGAGCTATGACTGCACCATTGCACACCAGCCTGGGCAACAAAATAAGACCCTCTCTCTCAGAAAAAAAGAAAATAAACTGTTTTTCTGAGTTCCGTAAACTGTTCTAGCAAATTATTAAACCCAAGAAGACAGTTACGGGAACCCCCGATTGGTAACAGGTTGGTCAAAAGTATGGTGACAACTTAGGACTTGCCATTGTCATCTGAAGTGAGGATGGCCTCGTGGGACTGAGCCCCTAACTTGTGGGGTCTGTGCTAACTCCAGGTAGTGTCAGAATAAAGTCATGGGATACCCAGTTAATATCCAGAGCACTGAAGAATCTGGTGTAGAAACTCCATACGTACATTCAGTCGGAAGTGTGTGAGTAGAGACAAACATGGGCTTTTCTGTCACCTACCTGCTTAACTGCATAGGAGAGGCAATATGTGGTGCTCATGAACAAAGCAAACATTAAAGTCAGACCAGACCCAACATTTGACTCAGTCTTAATATCCAGGTGAGCCTGCGCAAATCATTCATTATTCCTAAGGTTTTCATCACTCCATTCATAAAATGGGGATAACTGTGGCACCTACATGTGATTCTGTGAGAATTAACGAAATATTATGCTTGGGGTTATTGTGATCATTATACCTGTTCCAAACTATTTGACAAGGACAGTGATGGATGAAGACATCAAAAAATCAGAAACTGCAATGAGGTCTCTCAGGCAAAATTCCATACAAGCAAATTACTGTGTCTACAAAGCATTCCTGCCACACTTAATTCACCATTCCCTGAACAGAATATGCCATCTTCGTTGTTCAGGTCTGTACAGTGCTGGTTTCCCTTCCCGGACAGTTTGCGCTATCCCATCCCGGCCCATTCCCCATCCCTCCACCTCCCCCTTCCCTCCCCACTCTCATACAACTCTTCCTCATCTTTCAGGACTTGGCTTCAATGTCACCTTAACTGGAAGCTTCTCTCACTCTCCAGAAGAGCTTCCCATTGCACCTGATGCATGGGAAACATAATTTGATCATTTTTAAGTTACAGTCCAAATCTTTTTGTACCTGAATAACATGTTGCCCAGTCAGTCTCTCTTCCTGGATTCACAAGTCTTTCATGGTAGATCCAGCTGGAAGTGACAAAAAGACATCTTTTGACATAAAGGGATGACACAGACAGACATAAGTTCTTAAATGTCTTAAATGTTATGTGAGAATTAAACAGAATTCAAAGACTTGTGGGGAGCACTTAGGAAGTTACTGGGAATGTCATGAAGGGTTAATTTGTATTTTATTTTATTTTTTGAGACAGTCTCATTCTGTCACCTAGGCTGGAGTGCAGTGGTGCAATCAGGCTCACTGCAGCCTTGACCACCTGGGCTCAAGTAATCTCACTTAATTTTTATTTGGTTTAAGAAAGTCTTGGTTGAGGGTGGTGGCTTATGCCTGTAATCTCAGCACTTTGGGAGGCTGAGAGAGGTATATTACTTGAGGCCAGGAGTTTGAGATCAGACTGGGCAATATATTAAGACCCTGCCTCTACCAAAAAACAGAGTGAATGTGTGGAAGACAATTTTTCCACAGACTGGGAATGAGGGAATAATTTCAGGATGATTCAAGTGCATTACATATATTGTGCACTTTATTTCTATTATTACTACATAGTAATATATAATGAAATGATTCTACAACTCACTATAACGTAGACTCAGTGGGATCTCTGAGCTTGTTTTCCTGCAACTAGACTGTCCATCTGGGGTGATGGGAGACAGTAACAGAATATCAGGCATTAGATTCTCATAAGGAGTACACAACCTAGATCCCTCGCATGCACACTTCACAACAGAGTTTGTGCTCCTGTGAGAATCTAATGCTGCTGCTGATCTGACAGGACATGGAGCTCAGGTGGTCATGCAAGCGATGGGAGGGGCTAGAAATACAGATGAAGTTTCCCTTCACTCGCCTGCTGCTCACCTCCAGCTCTGTGGCCCTGTGGTTGGAGACCGCTGCTCAAGTGCATTTGAAAGGAACCAACCCACGCCATTCTTCAGAGTCATCTTTACTGCTGCAGTGGTCAACTTGTAGCACCCCTAAGCTCGCAGGACATATGCTTCAACTGGCATTTCACAATCAACAGTATGTGGCAGCTTGAGTCATTGTGAGCTCACATCCTGGAAATCACCAGCATCCCATATCCCATTGCAAGGAGCTCAGCACTGCTCCTTGGATAACCAAACCTATTCCCAAATCCCATCTGTGTGCGTCTATCTCCTGGTACCCTTCCTAGCATCAATTCTGTATTTGTAGGAGTCCAATCAGGAGACACAAACCACTCAAAAGTTTAAACTAGAATGAGCAAGATGGCTCACACCTGTAATCCCAGAACTCTGGGAGGCCAAGGTGGGTGGACTGCTTTGAGCTCAGGAGTTTGAGAACAGTCTGGGAAACATGGCGAAACCTCGTCTCTACAAAAAACACAAAAATCAGCTGGGTGTGGTGGCACTTACCTGTAATCCCAGCTACTCGGGAGGCTGAGGCAGGAGAATTGCTTGAGCCTGGCAGGTGGAGGCTGCAGTGAGCAGAGGTTGTGCCACTGTACTCCAGCCTGGGTGACAGTGTGAGACCCGGTATCAAAAAGAAAAAACGTATATATATATATATATATATATATATATATATGTAAATTTAATATAAAAAGTATTAATTTTGGCCAGGCAAAATGGCTCATGCCTGTAATCCCAGCACTTTGGGAGGCCAAGGCAGACAGATCACCTGAGGTCAGGAGTTCGAGACCAGCCTGACCAGCACAGAGAAACCCCATCTCTACTAAAAATACAAAATTAGCTGGGCATGGTGGCACATGCCTGTAATCCCAACTACTCGGGAGGCTGAGGCAGGAGAATTGCTTGAACCCAGAAGGTGGAGGTTGCGCTGAGCCGAGATAGCGCCATTGCACTCCAGCCTGGGCAACAAGAGTGAAACTCCATCTCAAAAAAAAAAAAAGGTATTAATTTTTACAGAGGATCAGCACAATGAGGGACACACTAGCACAAAGTAAAGACAACTCTAGAGAATACGGAACTAGCAGAGGCCAGGCATTGTGGCTCATGCCTGTAATCCCAGCAATTTGGGAAGCCTAGGCAGGAGGATCGCTTGAGGCCAGGAGTTGGAGACCAATCAGTGCTAAATAGTGAGACTCTGTGTCTACCAAAAAAAAGAGACATTAGCCAGGTGTGGTGGTGGTGCACACCCGTAGTTCCAGCTACTTGGGAGTCTGGGGTGGGAGAAATCCCTTGAGCCTGGGAAGTCTACACTACAGTGAGCCAAGATTGTGCCACTGCACTCCAGCCTGGGCGACAGAGTGAGACCCTGTCTTAGAAAGAAAAAAGAAAAGAAAGTGTTAATCCCCCTATGGGAATCTCCTCTTCTCCTGCCCTCTCTGGAACCTCACTTGTCAGTTCTTCCTCCCACTTTCCTGTATCTTTAACCTATCCCCCACTTTTAGCTCCTTCCCATCATCATTTAAATTACTCAAACTTCTTCTGTTTTAAAAACCTCTCCCTAAACTCAGGGAGAGGTCTTCTGCACACACATTGAGCCATCTGCTCTTCCCGGTGCCTTCTCTACAGCAGCCTGAGCCATGTCTCTAATCTATGAATCTCATCATGTTACTCCCCCATTTACATCACTTCTCCTTGCCTCAGGGATTAAGTCCAAACTCCTTAACAGCCCCTGCTCTGCCCTGCCTTGCAAGGCAGCCTCACTGCTTGCCCCTCTCCATTTCATCTGCTATGGAGTCCAACTGAGCCTCATCTGCCCCTTGAACGCACACTCTTTCTCCTCTGGGAGTCTCTGAAGTGGGTAATATCCTCTGCTTATAATATGCTTCCCCTTAAACCTCTACTCTCTTCCTAGCTAGCTTTGACTCCTCTGTCACTTGTCCGCTTTGGCATCACCTCCTCATAGAAGACTTCTATGACTCCCGAGATTCTCAGGAGCATGGCAGGTGAAGTGCTCCTCCCATGAATGGATGGAGATTAGGGAGTGTGTGTTATTCATGCTTAATTCACCAGTGCTTAGCTGAGTACCTGGCATAAAATAGTTACTGTGGTGGCCAAAGTAATAACCCCCACCGCCACCAATTGCTCATGTCCTATGTTACACAGCACAGTTACAGAGGAAGGGGGAATTAAGAGTGCAGATAAAATTAATGTTGCTCATCAGCTGACCTTAAAACAAGATTATCCTGGAGTATCTAGGAGAGCCCATGTAATTACAAGCATTCTTTAAAACTGGAAGAGGGAGGCAGAAGGTTAAGAACCAGAGACGGTGGGCACAATGGCTCATGCCTGTAATACCAATACTTTGGGAGGCCAGGGTAGGAAAATCCCTTGAGTGCAGGAGTTCAAGGTCAGCCATGGCAACATACTGAGGTCCCATCTCTACAACAAAATAAAAACAAAATTCACTGAGTGTCACGATGCTTACCTGTAGTCCCAGCTACTGGGAAGGCTGACATGGTAGGATTGCTTGAGCCTGGGAGTTTGAGGCTATAATGAGCCATGATAGGACCACTGAACTCCATCCTGAGTGACAGGGCAAGGTCCTGTTTCTGAAGAAAAAAAGGACATTGGAATCAGGGCCCTCTCCATCCTGAGGTGCCTACAAGGCATCTCTCTCTGCAAACGAGTAAACATCACCCTCCAACTCCTTACAGAGTGGAGCAACAGGAAAACTCCTTCACCTCATTTCTGTGCTGCTTGGGAGGCCTGGACAGCCCAATAACCAGCTCCTCGCTGATGAAGCAATCAGGAAATGGCTCGAGTTGAGCTAAGGAGAATTTGGATCCTTCCTTTGGTTCTCAGTAGGCAGGGTAGGGGCCAGGCATGGTGGCTCATACCTGTAATCCTTGCACTGTGGGGGGCCAAGGTGAGAGGATTGCTTGAGGCCAGGAGCTCAAGACCAGCCTGGACAACATAGCAAGACCTGGGTGGCACACACCTGTGGTCCCTACTACTTGGTAGGATGAGGTGGGAGGATTGATCACTTGATCCCAGGAGTTTCAGGCTGCAGTGAGCCATGATCACACCACTGCACTTCAGCCTGGGTGACAGAGCCAGACCATGTCACAAAAAGTTAGAAAAAAAAAAGAGAGAGGGAGAGAGACTATACACAGGCACCACCACATTTGGCTAATTTTTAAATATTCTGTAGAGACAAGGTCTTGCTAGGTTGCCCAGGCTAGTCTAAAACTCCTGGCATCAGGCTGGGCATGGTGGCTCATGCTTGTAATCGCAGCACTTTGGGAAGCTAAGGCAGGCAAATCACCTGAAGTCTGGAGTTCGAGACCAGCCTGGCCAACACGGTGAAACTCTGACTCTATCAAAAATACAAAAATCAGCTGGGCAGTAGTGGCGTGTGCCTGTAGTCTCACCTACTCGGGAGGCTGAGGCAGGAGAATCACTTGAACCTGGGAGGTGGAGGTTGCAGTGGACCCCATCACTGCACTCCACCCTGGGTGACAGAGCGAGACTGTCAACAACAACAACAACAACAAAAACAAAAACAACAACAACAAAAAAAACTCCTGGCATCAAGACATCTTCCTGTCTTAGCCTCCCAAAGCCCTGGGATTATACTGTTTCCTATAATTGAAGACACTTGTTCTTATACTGCTTTAAGGTATAAAGGAAGAAAAAAAAAACAGATAATGGCAAATGTTGGTGAAGGCCGGGCATGGTGGCAGCCTGTAATTCCAGAACTTAGGGAGGCTGAGGTGGGCAGATCACTTGAGGCCAGGAGTATGAGACCAGCCTGGGCAACATGGTAAAATCCCACCACTACAGAAAAATATAAAAATTAGCCAGGCATGGTGGCGTACACCTGTAATTTTCAGCTACCCAGGAGGCTGAGATGAGAGAATCACTTGTGCCTGGGAGGTCACGGCTGCAGTGAACTGTGATGGCATCATTGCACTGCGGCCTGAGAGACAGAGCAAGCCCCTATCTAGAAAAAAAAATGTCAGTGAAGATGTGGAGGAATTGGAACCCACATACATTACTGGTGGGAACATAAAATTGTGTAACCATTTTGTTTGGGTATTTCTTTTCTTGTCATTTTAATTGGATTTTTAAAAAATCAAGACGGGGTTTCACTATCTTGCCCAGGCTGGTCTTGAATTCACGGGCTCAAGCCATCCTCCTAGCTGAGCCTCCTGAGTAGCTGGGATTACAGGTGTGAGCCATTGCACCCAACTGGTATAGCCACGTTAGAAAACATTCTGGCAGTTTCTCAAAAGGCTAAATGTACAGTCATCCTATAATGCAACAATTTCACTCCTAGGCATATATCCCAGAAAAATAAAAATATATGTCCACACAAAAACTTGTACAACAATCTTCATAGCAGCATTATTCATAATGACCAATACATGGAATACATGGAAACAACCCAAATATCCACCAACTGATGAACAGATAAACAAAATGCAGTGTGTCTCTACCATGGAATACTGCCATAGAAGGAATGAAATATTGATACACACTATGACATAAAGGAACTTTGAAAACACTGTGCTAAGAGGGAAAAAAAGCCACAAAAGATCACATATTGTACAATTCTATTTGTCCAGATTAGGCAAATCTATAGT
This sequence comes from Homo sapiens, assembly GCF_000001405.40. Lineage (NCBI taxonomy): Eukaryota > Metazoa > Chordata > Mammalia > Primates > Hominidae > Homo > Homo sapiens. The sequence goes on from NT_187539.1 coordinate 29,334, forward strand.
GACAAAAAAATTAATCAATGGTTGCCTAAGGCTGGGGGCAAAGGTAGGTGGGGAGAGTAGGAGGTAGTGGCTAAGGGGTATGGATTTCTCTATAGGGTAATGAAAGGTTCTAAAAGTGACTGTGGTGATCGATGCACAGCTCTGTGAATATTCTAAAACCTACTGAATTGCAGATTTCAATAAATAAAGTGAATGGTATGTGAATATTTTAATAAAGCTATTATTTAAAATAATAATAATAGGGGGCTGGGCACAGGTGGTCATGCCTGCCTGTAATCCCAGCACTTTGGGAGGCTGAGGCAGGAGGATCACTTGAGGTCAGGAGTTTTGAGCCCAGTCGGAGCAACATGGCAAGATCCCGTCTCTATGATAAAAAATTACCTGGACATGGTGGCACATGTCTGTAGTCCCAGCTACTTGGGAGACTGAAGTGAGAGAACCACTTGAGCCCAGGAGTTTGAGGCTACAGTGAACCATGATCATGTCACTGTACTGTAGCCTAAGCAACAGAGCAAGACGCTGTCTCTGAAAAGGAAAGAAAACAAATGCAAGTTTTTATCACTTTGTGAGTGTAGCCAAGTTGGAGGAGAAATAGACAATAATAAAAGAGCACTGAATAATGACAGTGAGTGGCTGGTTAGGCTCAGTTGCTAGCTAAATGGCTTCTAAAAAATTCAATAAAGTTACAGCTCTGGGGACAGTCATGTAGTCAAAGAATGAAGGCGAAATTCATTACAATTGCCCATGGTCTTTATTTACATGCCTTCTAGTGAAAAATTCCTAAGTGCCTAAACAGCAAGTCTGCAATGATAGCAGCTGTTTATTAAAGACTACAAAAAAGAAATGGAGGCCGGGCGTGGTTGTTCACATCTGTACTCCTTGAATTTTGGGAGGCTGAGGCAGGCAGATTGCCTGAGGTCAGGAGCTCCAGAGGAGCCTGGCCAACATGGTGAAATCCCATCTCTACTAAAAATACAAAAATTAGCTGGGTATGGTGGCGGGCACCTGTAATCCCAGCTACTCGGGAGGCTGAGGCAGGAGAATTGCTTGAACCCAGAAGGTGAAGGTTGCAGTGAGCCAAAATCGCACCATTGCACTCCAGCCTGGGTGACAAGAGAAAGACTCTTATCTTAAAAAAAAAAAGAAAAAAAAGAAATGGCATCTTCTTCAAGAATTACATCGTGTTTCATGATAAAGAAGCTCTAATTTTGCATTTGTTCAAGTATTGATGAGATTTACCCAATATGACACCCATCTTGGATAAAATGCAAACAACACAATTTCATTTTCTCATTAACAAAACCGATTAAGTAGTCTAATATAAATTGCGATCTTATTAAAAACTGATCCGATTTAAAAAATTATGGAATTATGGAGCCAATAAGATGTTACAACCTGTTCCAAGGGAAATTCCAAAATCCACACATATCTGAGACCATCAAGTATGATGAAATATATTTGATTACTATATTGAAAAATAAACTGATTACATAGCCAACAATTGGACAGGGGTCTCCTCATCCACAGCCACACAAACCCGATCATGCAGCTGTATGGTTACAAGGCCTACATAGCCTAGAAGGGACTGGTCTGACTTGAGATTTCATTTGTATTTGTATTTTGAGACAGGGTCCCACTCTGTCACCCAGGATGGAGTGCAGTGGTATAATCATAGCTCACTGCAACCTTGACCAACTGGGCTCAAGAGATGCTCCTGCCTCAGCTGCCCCCATACCTGGGAATACAGGCAAGTACCACCATGTCAGGCATTTTTTTCATTTTTGTAGAGAGAGAAGACTTGCTATGTTGCCCAAGCTGGCCTCAAACTCCTAGAATCAAGAGATCTGCCCATCTCAGCCACATGAGTAACTGGGGCCATAGGTACATACCATCATGCCTGGCTATATTTATTTTCTTTTATTAAATTTATTTTTTTTATTTTTGTAGAGAGGAGGTCTTGCTGTGTTGCCCAGGCTGCTCTCAAACTCATGGCCTTAAAACATACTCCCATCTCTGCCTCTCAAACTGTTGGAACTATAGGTGTGAGCCACTGTACCTGGCCTGACTTGGGATTTCTTTTATCTAGCATCCTTTACTTGGTAGGATTGGGAAAAGCAGTAGTGTTTTTTAAAATTACTTAATAATTCAATCAGAATCAAACTCAACCTTGACCACTGCCTTCTCTCACAGCTCACATCCAGTCTGTCAGGAAATCCTACTGACTGACTTCAACATGTATCCAGGCTCTAACCATCTCTCACCACCACCATGAACCCCGTCAGGATCACTATCATCTCCCACCGGGATGTTGCCACAGCTTGGCTCCCATGCTTCTACCCAAATCTTCCCATAGTCTTTCTCAACTCGGCAGCCAGGTCGTGCTTTTAAATCAGGAGACGGATCATGTCGCCTCTCTGCTCAGAAGCCCTCGGTGGTTCCCATTTTAGTCAGAGCAAAAGCCAAAGCCCCAGCAATAGCGTCCCAGGGCTTACACGATCTGTACCGATCCCAGCCCAGCAACTCCCTGGCCTCCTCGCTGACTTCGCTCCATCTCTTTGCTCCACTGGCCTCCTTCCAGAGCCTCAGACACACCAGAGAGTTTCCTCCTAATGCCTTTATCCTGTTGACTCAGCCTACAATGCTCTTCCCTCAGCACCTTGGCCAGCTCCATCACCTGCTTCAAACTTTTGCTCAATATTCACTTATGAGGCCAACCCTGACCACTCTACTTAACACTGCCATCTGTCCCCATTCCCACCATGCTCATTTCTTTCTTTCTTTTTGAAACAAGATCTTGCTTTATTGCCCAGGCTGGAGTACACTGGTGCAATCACAGCTCACAGCAACTTCAACCTCCCAGGCTTAAACAATCCTCCCGCCTCAGCCACCCTAGGAACTGAGACTACAGCTGCATGCCACAACACATGGCTTTTATTTTTTTTTTTTTGAGACGGAGTCTCGGTCGCCCAGGCTGAAGTGTAAGGGTGCGATCTTGGCTCACTGCAATGTCTGCCTTTTGGGTTCAAGTGATTCTCTGCCTCCCAAGTAGCTGGGATTACAGGCACCCACCACCACACCTGGCTAATGTTTGTATTTTTAGTAGAGATGGGGTTTCACCATCTTGGCTAGGCTGGTCTTGAACTTCTGACCTCGTGATCCACCCTCCTCGGCCTCCCAAAGTGCTGGGATTACAGGCGTGAGCCACTGCGCCTGGCCTTTAAAAAAATATTTTTTTTAGACATGAGGTCTCATTATGTTGCCCAGGCTGGTCTTAAGCTCCTGGGCTTAAGCGATCCTCCCACCTCAGCCTCCTAAAGTTCTGGGATTACAGGCGTGAGCAACTGTAACATGAGGTCCCAGCTTCGTGTTCATTTTTTGTTGTTGCTACAACAAAGTACCCTACATTTAGTGGCATCAAACACCACAAATCTACCATCTTACAGTTCTGGGGGCCAGAAGCCCAACTAGGTCTATTAAGGCTAAAGTCAAGGTGTCAGAGAGGCTGCATTCCTTCTGGGGGAGGCTCTAGACAGAATGTGCTCCTTTGCCTTTTCCAGCTTCTAGAAGCCACCCCCATTCCTTGACTTACCTCGTGACTCCATATTCAAGGCCAGAAGTGCAGCATCTTCAAATCTCCCTCTCTGACCTCTTCTTCCATTACCACATCACTTTCTCTAATTCTGACTCTCCTACCTCATTCTCTTATAAAGATCCTTGTGATTGGTGGGTATGGGGGCTCCCATCTGTAATCCCAACATTTTGGGAGGCCAAAGAGGAAGGATTGCTTGAGGCCAAGAGTTAGAGATCAGCCTGGGGAAAATAGGAAGATCCTGCCTTTACAAAATTAAAATCAGCTGGACATGGTGATGCATGCCTGTAGTTCCAGCTACTGGAGAGGCTAAGGTGGGAGGATTGCTTTAGCCTAGGAGGTCAAGGCTGCAGTGAGCTATGATCACATCACTGCACTCCAGCCTCAGTGGCAGAGTGAGACTCTGTCTCCGATATAAGAAAAGAAATATACATTTGGTCTCTGCCCCTGGTTCCTGGCATAGAGCTTCCAAAGCTCTTATAAAGCCCTTCGTGACAGAGGTAATAGGAGCATTTTCTGTTTTGATATTTAGTCTTAGTCCCAGGTTCCTGACACAAGGGCCTCTAAGGTCTTTCAGATCTGCAGCATGGTAAGAATGCATGTGGGATGCTGTTGAGCTAACGGGGTGGCTGCAAGCTCCGAGACTGCTTCAGGAGGAGGGCTAGCTGCCAGAGAAAGCAACCACATTTTTTTTTTAAAACAGAGTTTGGCTCTTGTAGCCCAGGCTGGAGTGCAATGGCACAATCTCAGCTCGCTACAACCTCCACCTCCCGGGTTCAAGCAATTCTCCTGCCTCGGCCTCCCGAGTAGCTGGAATTATAGGGGTGTGCCACAATGCCTAGCTAACTGTTGTTATTTTTAGTAGAAACGGGGTTTCACCATGTTGGTCAGGCTGGTCTCAAACTCTTGACCTCAAGTGGTCCATGTGCCTCAGCCTTCCAAACTGCTAGGATTACAGGAGTGAGCCACCGCACCTGGCCCCAACCACATTTTTTGAGGCTTGGAACTTTCAGCCTCACCTGCTGAACTCCAGGAGGCAAAAGGAACTGGAGATTGACTTAACTACCAATGGCCAGTGATTTTATCAATCATGCCTCCATAAACACCCAAACAGCAGGGTTTGGAGAGCTTCTGTGTTGCTAAACACAAGGAGGTCCTGGGAGGGTAGTGTGCCCAACAGAGGGCATGGAAGCTCTGTGCCCCTCCCCACTTACCTTGTCCTGTGCATCTCTTTCATTGGCTGTTCCTGAGATGGAGCCATTACATTGAGCCAGTAATAGAAAATAAGGTGGCCAGATGCACTGGCTCATGCCCGTAATCCCAGCACTTTGGGAGGCAGAGGTGGGCGGAATCACTTGAGCCTAGGAATTTGAGACCAACCTGGGCAACATAAGAAGACCCCATCTATACAAAAAATAAAAGAAATTAGCCAAATGTGGTGGTGGGAACCCTGTAATTCCAGCTACTTGAGAGGCTGAAGCAGGAGAATCACTTGAGCCCTGGATGTTGAGGCTTCAATAAGCTATGATTGCACCACTGCACACCAGCTTGGACAACAGAGCGAGGCCCTGTCTCTTAAAAAGAAAAGAAAAAAAACTTGTTTTTCTAAGTTCTGTGAGTTGTTCTAGTAAATAATTAAACTCAACAAGAGGGTCATGGGAAACCCTGATTTCTAACTGGTTGGTCAAAATACAGGTGACAACCTAGGACTTGCAACTGGCATCTGAAGTGAGGGTGGTCTTGTGGGACTGAGCCCCTAACCTGTGGGTTCTGTGCTAACTCTAGGTAGTGTCAGAATGGAATTGTGGGATACGCGGTTGGCATCCAGAGAGTTGGAGAACTGGTGTAGAAACTCTGCACACACATTTGGTCAGAAGTCTGTGAGTAGAGAGAAACGTGTTGCAGGAAGTCAGGGACCCCAAACGGAGGGACTGGCTGAAGCCACAGCAGAAGAATATAAATTGTGAAGATTTCATGGACATTTATTAGTTCCCCAAATTAATACTTCTATAATTTCTTAGGCCTGTCATTACTGCAATCTCTGAACATAAATTGTGAAGATTTCATGGACACTTATCACTTCCCCAATCAATACCCTTGTGATTTTCTATGCCTGTCTTTAATCTCTTAATCCGCTCATCTTCGTAAGCTGAGGATGAATGTCCCCGCAGGACCCTGTGATAATTGCGTTAACTGCACAAGTTGTTTAAACAATATGAAACCTGGGCACCTTGAAAAAAGAACAGGATAACAGCAATTTCAGGGAACAAGGGAGATAACCTTAAACTCTGGCTGCCTGTGGGCCGGGTTGAACAGAGCCATATTTCTCTTCTTTCAAAAGCAAATAGGAGAAGTATTGCTGAATTCTTTTTCTCAGCAAAGAACATCCCTGAGAAAGAGAATGCATCCCTAAGGGGAGGCCTCTGAAATGGCCGCTTTGGGGACGGCTGTCTTTTACAGTCATAGATAAGGGATGAAATAAGCCCTGGGTTCGCGTGGCGCTCCCAGGCTTATCAGGACAAGGAAATTCCCGCCTAATAAATGTTGGTCAGATGGGTTGTCTGCTCTCAAACCCTTTCTCCTGATAAGATGTTATCAATGACAATGCGCGCCCGAAACTTCATTAGCAATTTTAATTTCGCCCCAGTCCTGTGGTCCTGTGATCTTGCCCTGCCTCCATTTGCCTTGTGATATTTTATTACCTTGTGAAGCATGTGATCTCTGTGACCCACACCCTATTCGTACACTCCCTCACCTTTTGAAAATCACTAATAAAAACTTGTTGGTTTTGCGGCTTGGGGGGCATCACGGAACCTGCCGACGTGTGATGTCTCCCCTGGACATCCAGCTTTAAAATTTCTCTCTTTTGTACTCTTTCCCTTTATTTCTCAGACTGGCTGACACTCAGGGAAAATAGAAAAGAACCTACATGAAATATCAGGGGTGAATTTCCCCCGATATCACACTGGCTCTTCTCTCACCTGTCTACCTGCTTAACTTAATAGGAGAGGCAATGCATGGTGCTCATGAACAAGGCAAGCATTAAAGTCAGACCAGACTAACATTTGACTCAGTCCTAATATTCAGGTGAGCTTGGGCAAATCGCTCATTAACCCCAAGTCTTCATCATTTTGTGCATATAATGGGGATAACTGTGGCACCCACCTGTTTTTGTGAGAATCAATGAAATATTATGCTTGATGTTATTGTGATCATGATACTATCTGACAAGGGCAGTGATGCATGATAACATCAAAAAATTAGAAACTGTAATGAGGTCTCTTGGGCAAAATTCCATACAGGCAAATTACTGTCTCTACAAAGCATTTCTGCCACACTTAATTCACCATACCCTGAACAAAATGTGCCATCTTCATTGTTCAGGTCTGTATAGTGCTGGTTTCCCTGCCTGGGCAGCTCACTCCATCCCATCCCAGCCCAATCCCCATCCCTCCACCTCCCCCTTCCCTCCCCACTCTCATACAACTCTTCCTTATCTTACAGGACTTGGCTTCAATGTCACCTTAACTGGAAGCTTCTCTCCCTCTCCAGAAGAGCTTCCGATTGCACTTGATGCATGCACTATTATTTGATCATTTTTGAGTTACAGTCCAAGTCTTTTTGTACCTGAATAACATGTTGCCCAGTCAGTTTCTCTTCCTGGATTCAGAAGTCTTTCATGGTAGGTCCAGCTAGAAGTGACAAAAAGACATTTAAAAAAAAAAAAAAAGAGGGATGACACAGACAGACATCAGCACTTAAAAGTTTTAAACGATATGTGAAAAACAAAATTTAAGGGCTTCTAGGAGAAATGTAGGAGGGAAGGTGTTACTGGGAAATATGATAGAAGGTTAATTTTTATTTTATTTTATTTTTAGAGAAAGGGTCTTGCTCTATCACCTAGGCTGGACTGCAGTGGTGCAATCACAGTTAACTGCAGCCTCAACCTCCAGGGCTTGAGCAATATTCCCATCTAATTTTTATTTTGTTTAAGAAATGCAGTCTTGCTCTTAGCAAAGCTAAAGTGCAATGGTGTGATCATAGCTTACTGCAGCCTCAACCTTCTAGACTCAAGTGATCCTCCAGTCTTAGCCTCCCCAGTAGCTCGGACTACAGGTGTGCACTGCAACGTGTAGCTCATTTTTTTTTTTTAATTTTTAGTAGAGACAAAGTGTCACTATGTTGACCAGGTTGGTGGTGATCTCCTACACTCAGGCAGTTCTCTCACCTCAGCCTTCCAAAATGCTGGGATTACAGGTGTCAGCTGCCACACCTGGCTGAGGGGGTTAATTTTTAATTATATAAAGAGCTCAAAGCAAATATTAGAAGGAGCCTAAATGCCTCCAGCAGTTGACTGGTACTGGTAAATTGTGATACATCCATATAATAAAATATTATGCAACCATGAAAAGGATTAAGATAGATCAATAGGTATTGGCACAAATGTCCACGAAATATGAAAATATGAAGTGATGTTCAATCACCATGTACGTATCTTGAAGGATATGGCCCATTTTCTCAACTGCAATTATTTCCTGAGATAAGATTATGGGTCTAAAGAGTGAAGGACATTTTTCACTTATTTAAAAGTATTTATCATTTTTATAATTTAATAAAAGATTAAACAGATCATTGAATTAGTAAAAGACAAAGTAACTCTATAAATAAATGGAAAAGACACAGATACCCCAGGCATGGTGGCTCATGCTTATAATACCAGTACTTTGGGAGGGGGTGGTGGGGGGATTGCTTGAGGCCAGGAGTTCCAGACCAGCCTAAGAAACAAAGCAAGACCTCCTCTCTAGTAAAAATAAAAAAATAAAAATAATTGGCCAGGCATAGTGGCATGTGCCTATAGTCCCAACTACTGAGGTGGAAGGATCACCTGAGCCTAGGAGGTCAAGGCTGCAGTGAGTTGAGACTGTGCCACTACACTGAAGCCTAGGAGACAGAGCGAGACTTCATCTCAAAAAAAAAAAAAAAGGACAATAAAGAAATAAAGCTAATAAGCTAACATAAGGAAAGATAAAATATGTGACAAATAGGCTGGGCACATGGCTCACAGCTGTAATCAAGCACTTTGGGAGGCCAAGGCGGGTAGATCACGAGATCAGGAGTTCGAGACCAGCCTGATCAACATGGTGAAACCACGTTTCTACTAAAAATACAAAAATTAACCAGGCATGGTGGCATATGCCTGTAATCCCAGCTACTCAGGAGGCTGAGGCAGGAGAATCGCTTGAACCTGGGAGGCACAGGTTGCAGTGAGCCGAGATCACACCACTGCACTCCAGCCTGGTCGACAGAGCGAGACTGTGTCTCAAAAAAGAAAAAAGAATGGGTGACAAAGTAATAATAGGAGGTCTTTCATTTATCACACAGAAAATAACTTGTTAAATTATAATACCTGTGTGGGCGAAGGTGCAGTGAAATGGCCATTTTCTTGTAGTATTAGTGGTGTTTAAAATGTATATAAGCCTTCCAGCATAAAGCTTGGAAATTTTTTTTAAATCATACAGACAGTGACTCATTATACTGCCTCCTCCAACTCCTGGCCTCAAGCAATCCTCCCACCTCAGCCTCCCAAAGTGCTGGAATTACAGGCTGACAGCCACCATGCCTGAAAGCTTTGCAATTTACATCGAGGGTAATAAGAATGCTCATGCCCTGTGACTCACAGTAATCTCACTTCTGGAAATTTCACCTTTGGATATAATTCAACCTAAACAAAAGGTCATATGCACAAACACAGTGAAAATCTGGGAGTAATTTTTTTCTCTTTTTTTAAAAAAATATGGAATGCTTCACAAATTTGCATGTCATTCTTTCACAGAGGCCGTGCCAATCTCTCTATTGTTCCAACTTAAGTATGTGTGCTACTGAGGCAAGCATGAGTAATTTAAGATAGAGTGGTTAAGTGAAATAAGGAAGAATTATGGAGAATTTAAAAATCTATGCTATTTATAGGCACCTAGTAACAGCTCAGTAAATATTAGCTGCTACTATTATTATTTTTATGGTAATTTCACTCAATTAAAAACTGTCGTTAAAAATTACCATTGTCATGGAACATAATGTCTCCTACTGTATAATTGTAGAAACAGATACAATTTGTCCCTTGGTATATGGGGGGATTAGTTCCAGCTCTCCCATTTCTGTGTATACCAAAATCCACGCATACTCAAGTTTTCGAAGTCAGTCCTGTGGAATCCACATATAACACAAATGGGAAAATTAGTGAGGTGTGGTGACAAGCACCTGTAGTCCCAGCTACTTGTGAGGCTGAGGCAGGAGGATTGCTTGAGCCCAGGAGGTTGAGGCTGCAGTGAGCCATAATTGCACCACTGCACTCCAGTCTGGGCAACAGAGTGAGACAGAAGGTTGACTTTTTAATAGAATTTTTCTGTTCACTTGAAGATATGGTCAGGATTGTGGCATATGAAAATTCTTCATAAAATAACTATCTAATCCAATTAATGCTGGAATTGGGAACAGCAGAAGTGTCATCTCAGAGCTACTCACAATGAAAGGTGATGTCTGGGGCTCAGGTGTGTTGAGGTCCCCATGCCTGGACTATGGGTGCTGAGTGGGATTTACTTGTCCATCCATTTTCTATATTCCAGCACTGGGAAACTAGGGACAGTACTTGTTCTCAAGGGAATCTTCAGCTTAGGTGGCTCTGTAAAAGAGAAATTACATCATTGAAAAATCGTCGCAGGTCAGGTGAGGTGGCTCATACCTATAATCCCAGCCCACTGGGAGACTAAGGCAGGAGGATTCCGTGAGGCCAGGAGTTCAAGACCAGCCTGAGCAACACAGTGAAACCTCATCTCTACAAAAAATTAGAAAATGAACTGGGTGCGGTAAAACATTCGTATAGTCCCAGCTACTCTGGAGGCTGAAATAGGAGGATCGCTTGAGCCCAGGAAGTGGAAGCTGCAGTGAGCTCTGATCTCACCACTGCACTCTAGCCTTGGTGACAGAGTGAGACCCTGTCTCAAGACACACACAAACACACACACACACACACACACCCAATCTCACTCTGTCCAGCCTTGACTAATCAAAAGGGCCTTCTGGTTACAGAAGAGGTATGCTCTTTTGTAGGACAGGGAGAGACCAGCAAGCTTGTTCACAGACTTTTCCTCATCCTCTGCTTAGTTTTCCAAGAACCCTCACAGTGGAAATGGAGTCTCTGGGAAAATGACCTAAATCTTTGGGTTACCAGGGGAGAAATATGCCTCCTTTGTCAATTAATAAATGGAACATCTGCCTTAAAATCCAGGGAGTTCTGCTAGAATGAATCACTCCCTAAGACCCTGACCAATGCATGGAACATGAAAAACTGAAGTTTAACTGGGCGCGGTGGATCACGCCTGTAATCCCAGCACTTTGGGAGGCTGAGGCGGGCGGATCACCTGAGGTCAAAAGTTCTAGATCAGCCTGGCCAACATGGTGAAACCCCGTCTCTACTAAAAATACAAAAATTAGTTGGGCATGGTGGTGGACACCTGTAATCCCAGCTACTTGGGAGGCTGAGGCAGGAAAATCGCTTGAACCCGGAAGGCGGAGGTTGCAGTTACTTCTAGAAGAATTTCCATTAGCCCTTTGAAATCCTTCAACATTCATGAAGGCCAAAGAGTTTTCACCTAATTTAATCTGATGGGTATGTGACCAGAGTCTTTCTAGGGAATAGAGACTCCCAAACAGTTCGACTGGGAAGTGAGGAGAGAATTTATTACTCAAAACCAAAGGGAAATGAAAAGAGGCCAACATAGAATGTCATTATTCTTTCTTGGCGGGGAATGGATTCCAGAGTCATTCTGTGACCTTTACATGACCTCCTTATTAGCATCTAAAAGCTTCCAGTGTAGGATGCAGCCAGCTAGGTTCTCTTCTAATGTAATAAAATTTGCTTCGGCAAATCTTATGCAGAGCCATCTCCAGGCTCCAGAAACAATAGGCTATAAATTACTGGATCTCCCATTTGATACAATGAAGTATGAGCATGGTCCTGAATGACTCCTCTACATACTACTCTGGGTGGCTTGAAGTGAATTTGATACAAGAACTGGAGCGAGGGCAAAGCAGAGCTAGATCTAGGATTAATGTGCTTGGGCCCAGCTCCTCACTACTCACCTATGAGTCTAGTTCCAGAACCCAAGTAGAGGATGGGGAAACAAGGCTCCTGACTTTTTTTCCCTAATGTCTGCATCTCTTTCACATTTCTTATCTCCTTGCAAAGAAACTAAACAGGCTCAACTGAAATAACTAAATGATTAAACCCTATACAGAGACTCTCCAAAGACTGACAAAATATCATTCAAGACTGTTACACAGACAACCTTGAGGATGACTTGATGTACCAGTGATCTACAATATTTGGGATCATTCCAAATTCCCATCAAGGATCTGCCTATATCAACAAAGGAGCCAAGGACCAACCATTCAAATGGGCCATGCTGCCAAGCCTTTTTTTTTTTTTTTTTAACAATGCCATCTCTTCATATTGTTCCATTTAACAAAACTGCAGCCCTTCATCTATCCTTAAGTCCCTTGGCCAATGGTACAGGGCCAGAGTATGCTACTCCCTAGCAGGAAATCAACAGGATGACCTACTAAACACCATTCAGAAGATGCTAAGACCCATGAATTGCAACAGGAAAGAAAAGACAGAGAATTAGTCAGACAGGTACATGCTGTGCCAAAAATGCACTACAGCCCCCACCCAATTCTGCCTAATCCTAGCTGGGCTGACACCAACCTGATGAGACAGGCCTATAAGATCTCAAACTAAAACAGAAACTCCTGAACTGGGTTCTTTCGAGCCCAGGAAGCAGCAGTAAATCATTAAAGAACAGATAAGTTCTTAAGGTGAGGGAGAGTTTCAGATAAATGGAATGCTGGTAGAACACAGGGCCCAAAGGAGCAAAAGTTAACCTAAGCCCAGGTAGAACCTTGTTTACTAGAGTATTAGGCATGGGTTTGGGCAACTATTCTAACCAGAGAAACTGGCTTCAGTGAGGGCAAGTTGGCAATCCAAGGTATAGCATGCATAGGGCTGGCAAAATTCAGGGTGACTGAAGCAAAAGCTTCATAACCAGAAAGACCACATCTGGGGGTAGAGCACAAAACTCTCAAGAGATGAATCTTTGTAAGAGTGAGGCAGAACTATATAGCAGTTTTAGGAGATCTGTTGGTGCCCAGCAAGAGCTCCAAACGGGCTATATGCAGGGATGCAGGCTGTAGTCTCAGGAGAGGAGGTTCACAAAAGTCATTCAGTCCAAGACCTCAAACTGTGTTCTCTACTAAAAGGAATCAAGGTTCCCTAGAGAAATGGCTGACTCCATGTATGGTGCAGTATATTGATCCTGGAACATCTGTTTTGCCAGAAAGCAAGGAAGCCATCAAAGTCCAACAGGATCACGTCAAAAAGACATGAAAGTCAACTTGAAGAGATAATTATTAACCTAGATGAGACAATGTAAGCATCCAAAACAATAAAGACTGCAATGGCCTGAAATACATCAAATGCAAACAATAATCTATGAGTTCATAATGGTATTCAGAAAAAAAAACTACTGGTCATTAGAGGGAAGGTTACTAGGTCACTAACTTACTACTCTGAAAAGTGACTTAAGATGAGAGGTAGGGTGGAGAATTAGCTATTTATTCAGTCTTTCCTGTACAAACATAAATTTTTAGGGAGATTGAAGCAGATGAAACAAATCTGGAAAAATGGAGGTAACTGCTTAATCTGCGGGTTGGGTGCATGGAGGTTCAACATATTTCTTTTGTGTATATTTGAACCCCCTACAAAAAAAGCACAAGACAGAATGTGAGCCAAGCAGCTTAGGGTTTAGGCAAGGCTTCTGCCTACAAGAGACACTAGGATATGAGGGGTAGTTTTAGCCCTAATGGGCTGAGCCAACTGGAGGTATATAGGGAAGTGCTAAATTGCAGAGGTATCATGTTGCCCAGCACTTGATCAAATCCTAGATCCTAGGTCTGCTTGGTGGCATGCTTCCTAGGTAGTGGATCTGAGGCTACCTATAGAACTTCCTTTGCAGTCATAGTTCGCTCAGAAACTACAAAAGTGCTTGCTCTTGAAAATGGAGTCTTTGTCCATTTCATGCTTCTATAAAAGAATACCACAGACTGCATAATTTATAAAAAGGAAAAAAGGAAGGAAAGAAAAAAGGAAGGGAGGAGGGAAGGAGGGAAAAAGGGAAGGAGGGAAGGAAAGGAAGGAAGGGAAAGAAGGAAAGGAAGGAAGGGAAAGAGAGAAAGAGGGAAGGAGGAAGGGAGGGAAGGAGGGAGGGAGGGAGAGAGAGAGGGAGGGAGGGGAAGGGAAGAAAAGGGAAGAGAAGGGAAAGGAGGAAGAAAAGGAAAGGAAAGGAATAAATTTTATTTCTTAACAGTTCTGGATGTTAGGAAGTCCAAGGTTGAGGGGCCTGCATCTGGTAAGGGTCTTCTTGCTGCATCATCCCACTACAGAAGGCAGAAGGAAAAGAGAGTGCAAGAAAGCAAGAGGGCAAAAGGGGCTGAACTCTGTTTTATAATAAGCCCACTCTGTGATTACTAATCTATTACCACAATAACAACATTAACTCATTCATGAAGGCTATTTTATTAGGCCCCACATCCCAACTGTTGCATTGAGGATTGAGTTTCCAGCACATAAACTTTGGGGGACACATTTAAACCATAGCAGAGCACTTAGGTTAATTCAACTAAGAGGAGCTGGGAAAATCAAAGGCATGAGAAAGACAGCAAAAGCTAGCAGAGAGAAATGCATAGGTTAAGGAAAAAAGTCACAGTGAATCCTGTAGTGCAGGCTACTTTATCAAAAGCACCTAAAAAAGATCTCATTAACTCCCCCAGCTCACCTCCACGCACATCTAAAGAGCCACACACAGCACCACCAAAGGCAGCACAATGAGAACAGCATTCTCCTCAACAGACAAGCTGGGAGTATCTAGACACCTGACCTCAATAGCTCCAGAACAGCCCTAAAACATTTCCTCCCTAACCACCACTCAAGTCACCAGCTTGGAAAGTATTAAGAAAACCCAAATCCTGACACACCACTATGAAACAACTTAAAACAGCAAAGAACAACCCATTTAAACAGCAATGCCAGCTGTTGGGAAAAAAAGGAACAATGAGTAGAGGAGAAACAGACCTCTCGGGGTCCACCAAGACCCAGTCTCTCAGCTTCAGCACTTTTAAATGCAGAATCCATACCCCTCTGGGGCCTGTGGAGCTCCACAAGGCATGTCGTCCTCAAAGATAAATGAGCAGGCAAGCTGGCTAGAAAACCACTAAGGGTATTTATTCTTTAAAGAATCTTTATAGGGTCAAAGAAGAATGGGTCCTAACTGGCTATGTGAACTCCCCACAGATTCTGAGGATGATGTCAGTATCCCTTTCCAGATGTGTTTAACACTTTGCAGTCACTTGTATTCCTGCCACTGAGTGCCAGTGCTTTGCTAATTTGAACTGATTCCAGCTCACGCTGACCCCAGCTCCCTGGATGTTACCATTAGCCAAGACTGACACCCATACTGTACCCTTTCAAAGAGTCCTAAAAACAGCTCTTCACCTACTCTTCCAAGACAAGTAAAAATGACTGCCAAAGAAATGGGGAAAAAAGATTCAGAGAGTGAAAACAATTAATATACTAACAAGAGAGCAAAAAGCAAAGGGGGAGGAGAAACTAGGAAAATCATATATGGGCTCTCACCTATTTCCAAAGCTGGGCTAATGTCCTTTTGCTTGTGTCTGAATAAGGCACCAATTTTAAGCTGCTAATGAAAAAAAAAGAAAAAGAGAAAGAAGCAGGCCCAGGCTGGGCGCAGTGGCTCATGCCTGTAATCCCAGCACTTTGGGAGGCCGAGGCGGGTGGATCACCCAAGGTCAGGAGTTCTAGACCAGCCTGGTCAACATGGTGAAACACCATCTCTACTAAAAATACAAAAAATTAGCCAAGCATGGTGGCGCATGCCTGTAAATCCAGCTACTAAGGAAGCTGAGGCAGGAGAATTGCTTGAACCTGGAAGGCAGAGAATGTGGTGACCTGAGATCACGTCATTGCCCTCAAGCCACGGCAATGAGAACAAAATTCGGTAAAAACAAAACAAAACAAAACAAAACAAAACCACCATAAAATAACTCAGACTTAATTAAATACAACCCTAGTGGTGAATGACTAAAGATGGATTACTCATAACAGAGATTGAACAGTCCAATAAGAATCCAGGAATCTTACCTTTTAATAACAAAAAAATCCTTTCCTTCTAAAGTAACATCCTCTCAAGGCCAGGAATTCCATTAGTAGAAAGCCTTCCTAAAAAACAAAATTCCTGGCCAGGCATGGGTTCACGTCTGTAATCTCAGCACTCTGGGAGGCCGAGGCGGGAAGATCACTTGATATCAGGAGTCGAGGCGGGAAGATCACTTGACGTCAGGAGTTCGAGACTGGCCCAGCCAACATGGTGAAACCGCATCTCCACTAAAAATACAAAAATTAGCCTGGTGTGGTGGTGGGCACCTGTAATCCCAGTGACTTGGGAGGCTAAGGCAGGAGAATTTCTTGAACCCAGGAGGCAGAGGTTGCAGTGACCAGCAAGGTTGCGCCATTGCACCCCAGCCTGGGCGATAAGAGTGAAAACTCCATCTCAAAAAAAAAAAAAAAAAAAAAAATTCCTTTGGGAAGGCCTTCTACATAAAAATCTTCAACATGAGACTGGAAAAAAGGGTATGGGATCATCACCGGACCTTTGGCTTTTACAGCTCGAGCTATAAGAACAAAAAGAAAAAGGGATATCATTTAAACACGGTATGTAGAAAAGAATAATTATTGAATCTGTACTGGTCTTTAACTTTTACACTTTGATCTTTAATTCTGTTATTGTGATTGAGTCCAAAGAAAAACAGTATGAGTAAAATAAAAAGAACACCAAAAATGCTAATATTCTGTTTACCGAAGTCTGTAGTGAAATATCCCATTAAATCCAAGTGCAGTGACACACCCATAATCCCAAGCACTTTGGGAGGCTGAGGCGGGTGAATCTCCTGAAGTCAGGAGTTCAAGGCCAGCCTGGCCAACATGGTGAAACCCCAACTCTACTACAAATACAAAAATTAGGCAGGCGTGGTGGCAGAGGCCTGTAATCCCAGCTACTTAGGAGGCTGAGGCAGGGAGAATTGCTTGAACCCAGGAGGTGAGCTTGCCATGAGCTGAGATCATACCACTGCACTCCAGCGTGGGTGACAGAACAAAACTTCAACCTCCAAAAAAAAAAAAAAAAAAAAAAAAAAAAAACAGCTAGCAGGTGACATTTGCTATAGGGAGTAGGGAGACTAGGGATATGATCTTGCTGCAATCTTTCCATTTTAGTAAATCTAAACAAGTGTGAATCCATTCTGTTTCGTCCCCACTCCACTCCAGAGCCAAAACAAGAAAATCAATTATATTTCTAGTTCTTTAAAAACATATCTAACTAAATCATCTAATTAAAAGATAATATGCATGGTTCCATACTCTAAAAGAAAACTTATGTCCTGCATATCATGGACATTTGATGAATGCTTATTCAGTTGACTGGTGTAGACTTCAATAATAACCTGTTCAATGCATTATACCAGATGAATCTTGCATCTCAAAAGTAGAACAAATATTGTTCTTTCAGTTTTGTCTACCCATAAATGCAATATTTACTAATAAAAAGAAAATGAGTTTATTGTTCTAGAGAGTATGAGAATTTTGACAACATGAATTCTCCTGTCCTAGGACATAATTAATACTTAGAGGCATACTATTTCATGTGGAAGCTACCATTAAATCAATGTTAAGTGTTAATTACCTCACATAATCTTCTAATCTGACTTGACTGAAGACGTACCTGACAAAGTTGATTTATCAAGTTGTAAATCTTCACCTGTTGAATTCATAAGTTCATGTCTGAAAGGTGAGAATAAATACTTAATATTCATTAGGCAATATTCAGCAAAGTAATATCCACTAGTACATATTTAATATTTCATCATGAACTGCGGGTGTGAAGAGAAAAGACAGGCTGGGCACAGTGGCTCACACCTGTAATCCCAGCAGTTTGGGAGGCCGAGGCAGGCAGATCATGAGGTCAGGAGTTCGAGACCAGCCTGGCCAACATGGTAAAACCCCGTCTGTACTAAAAGTACAATAATTAGCTGGGCATGGTGGCAGGCACCTGTAATCCCAGCTACTCGGGAGGCTGAGGCAGGAGAATTGCCTGAACCCAGGAGGTGGAGGTTGCAGAAACCATTATCACGCCACTGCATTCCAGCCTGGGCAAGAGAGCAAGATTCTGTCTCCATCAATCAATCAATAAAAATATAAGGAGGAAGCATTTACTGTGTATTTATATGTCTGGTATTATGTGAAGCACTTTACTATCTTATCAAATCTTCGGGACAGATCTTCAGTTCTCATGACCACAAAAGAGGATACTAAAGCTCAGACAGGAGAAGAGACGTGGCCAGCCTGTGTCCCCAGGGCCTATGGTCTTACCACTAGGTTACAGTGTTTCCAGATATCACATGTTGTGAGATTTTTGCTTTAAAATGAACCAAAAAAAAACCAAAGGTGAAAAAGGCATAAGCTATTAAAAAGTGGGAGAAACACTAAGAGAACCTTAAGCATGTAACTAAAAATATTATGGAAATGTTATTGAATTCATTAGCAAATTTAGTGCTAGGTTTTCATTGAGGAGTAGGTTATATTACTCATGATGAAGAAAAATGTTCATTTTAAGTATATTAACATAAATACCATCAATATTGTTTATCATGCTTAAATGTTCACTTAAAGCAATTCAGTTAAAATTCTGCATATCATACAATTTTATAGTTTGCTAGTAGGTTACAAGTAAATAGTCACCCAAATAAAAACATCATGTTTTCCACTGGTTGTTGCTCTTTTTTAGGTGAGTATTTGATGTATACCAACAGAGAGAGGATAATAACAAATCGCTAATTTCTTTCATCACTATATAAAGGTGGCTTCAGGATAGAATAGTATCAGGGCAATGATGAATTTGAAATCTAACATCAATTCAGTGATGCATCAAGATAAAAGTAGAGACAACAGGGGCACCTTGGTGAGTACTGAACATTTTATTTATTTATTTATTTTGAGATGGAGTTTTGCTCTTTTTGCCCAGGCTACAGTGCAATGGTGCCAACCTCGCCTCACTGCAACCTCTGCCTCCTGGGTTCAAGCGATTCTCCTGCCTTGGCCTCCCGAATAGCTGGGATTACAGACATGCGCCACCACACCCGTCTAATTTTGTATTTTTAGTAGAGACGGGGTTTCTCCATGTTGGTCAGGCTGGTCTCGAACTCCCGACCTAGATATCTGCCTGCCTTGGCCTCCCAAAGTGCTGGGATTACAGGTGTGAGCCACCGCGCCCAGATGAATTCCAAATTTAACAAAGCAGACTAAGAGAAACAATTCATTTAAAAAAATAATATTTGGCCAGGCATGGTGGCTCACACCTATAATCCCAGCACTTTGGGAGGCTGAGGTGAGTGGATCAGGAGGTCAGCAGTTCAAGACCAGCCTAGCCAAGATCATGAAACCCCGTCTCTACTAAAAATACAAAAATCAGCCAGGCGTGGTGGCTGGTGCCTGTAATCCTAGCTGCTCGGGAGGCTGAGGCAGAGAACTGCTTGAACCCGGGAGGCGGAGGTTGCAGTGAGCCGAGATCGTGCCACTGCACTCCAGCCTGGGTGACAGAGTGAGGCTCCGTCTCAAAAAAAATAAATAAATAATTCAATGAAATTCCTAAGATCCAGGGCTTTGCAATAAATATGTAAATAAATTTCCAATCTCCATACTGAAAGTTTAAAAGAAATGCTAACTAATAACTAAAGAAATACAACTTTTCCTCAGCTTTGCAGCAATCTAGAAACAAAGTGTGTAGACACTACAAAGCACCTTACAAGGAGAAACATGTAAGGATGGCATGACTCGCCGGCAGCCCTGGGCTTG
The DNA here is from genome assembly GCF_000001405.40 of Homo sapiens. Taxonomy (NCBI): domain Eukaryota; kingdom Metazoa; phylum Chordata; class Mammalia; order Primates; family Hominidae; genus Homo; species Homo sapiens. The sequence continues at coordinate 48,959 of NT_187539.1, forward strand.
TCCACGGTACCCCCATGATGAACAGTAACTCCACTGTGTAAACGCCCATGAACATAAGATTACAAGACTTTTCCAGTTTAGACATACCATATTTTCTTTCAGACAATTCTTCAGTTTGTTTACGTAGATCAGCGATACGATGATTCCATTTCTCTGAAAACCAAGCAAAAGTTGCTTCTCAATAACACGTCCCTATGTCAGAGCAGCACTAACGTATAATGACTGATTTCATATATTTTACATTCTAACAGTCCATATCATTTTACTGCTTTCAAGAAAAAATTTCCCCTTCTTGGTGGTTCTTAGAATTGGTTTAATGGGAGACTATTAGAGAAGCTGAAAAGCAGGAGGGCAGAAAAGTTCAATCAAATTAAACACAATAACAGGGAGGTCACAATGAGGCGGTCTCCAGGGGTCTTTTAGCAAACTTCCTAAAACATGTCTCAGCTGTGTGAAATAAGACTTTACAGCAGCCGGGTGCAGTGGTGCAGGCCTGTAATCCCAGCACTTTGGCAGCAGAGGCAGGCGGATCACTTTGAGCTCAGGGCAACATAGCCAAAACCCCCCTCCCTAGCCCCACCCCCACCCCGTCCCTACCAAAAATACAAAACAGCAGGGCATGGTGGCGGGCGCCTGTAGTCCCAGCTACTCAGGAGGCTGAGGCAGGAGAATCACCTGAACCCAGGAGGCAGACATTGCAGTGAGCCAAGATCACGCCACTGCCAGCCTGGATGACAGAGCAAGACTCCACCTCAAAAAAAAACAAAAACAAAAACACAAGGTTAAGAGGGACCCCCGACCTTACAGATACAAGTTTAAGAGGGACCCCCAAGCAAAAAATGCCAACCCTTTTTCTCCCAATCATTGAAACACCAGGAGGGTGTAACAGTTTTGCAGCCTAGCTGTAGCAGGCTGATGCCCCCAAGATGCCCATATCCTAATCCCGGGAACTGGTGAACATGACCTTATATGGCAAAAGGAGCTTTGCAGATATAATGAAGTTAAGGGTCTTTGGCTTTTGGGGTTGATGTACTCACTCGGATCCTTGTAAGAGCAGAGCAGGTGATGGAGAGGGTGGGAGGTGTAGTGACAGAAGCAGGAAACTCCAGTCATTCGAGACGGGCAGCACAAGCTGAGGAGTGCAGGCCACCTCTACGGCCAGGAAACGGATTCTCCCGCAGAGCCTCGGAAGCTACCGACCCTGCTCCCACCTTGACTCAGTAGGACTTACTGTAGAATTCTGGCCTTCAGACCTGTAAGGGAATACATTTTGGTTGTTTTAAGTCACTAAGTGTGTGGTAATTTGTTGCAGCAGCCACAGGAAACTAGTATTGTAGTGAAGCCTCAAAACCCCCCTGAAGGGGCTGGGCTCAGTGGCTCATGCCTGTAATCCCAGCACTTTGGGAGGCCGACATGGGTGGATCACTTGAGGTCAGGAGTTCGAGACCAGCCCAGCCAACATGGTGAAATGCCATCTATACAAAAAATACAAAAACTAGCCGGGCATGGTGGCACATGCCTGTAATCTCAGCTACTCAGGAGGCTGAGACAGGAGAATTGTTTGAACCCAGGGGGGCAGAGGTTGCAGTGAACTGAGATTCCACCACTGCACTCCAGCCTGGGTGACAGAGCGACGCTCCATCTCGAAAACAAAACAAAACAAAAAAACCCCACCTGAAGGTTTCCAGTTCTGCCAGCACTCTCCCACCCAACCCCCAGAAACAGACATTCCATTGCTGTGGGCCATGGACAGGCAGAAGGAAGCACCTCCTCATGGCAGAGGCCTACCCAGGAGAAACCCAAGGGAAGGCACTACTGGGCTGGCCCCTCTCTGCCAAGGCCATATTCTTTTTTTTTTTGAGGCCAGTTTCACTCTGTCTCCCAGACTGGAGTGCAGGGGCACAATCTCGGCTCACTTCGACCTCTGCCTCCCCAGTTCAAGTGATTCTCCTGCCTCAGTCTCCTGAGTAGCTGGGATGACAGGAGTGTAGCATGCCTAGCTAATTTTTGTATTTCTAGTAGAGATGCGGTTTTGCCATGTTGCCCAGGCTGGACTCGAACTCCTTGCCTCAAGTAGTCCACCTGTCTCAGCCCCGCAAAGTGCTGGTATTACAGGAGTGAGCCACTGCACCCAGCATTTGCCAAGACCTTTGATGGCAGGCTTTTTCCAGGTGATCAGTCCTTGTCTGGTCTGGCTCTGCCCCACTCTCCTTCTCACCTAGTTGGAATCCCTAGCTACTTTTCAGTAGAGGAGAGTGTGTACCCCAATCCCAGCTTGGTTCAGATCTGCATTTAACTCATGGAACCTGGCTGCTCCCCAGGTTCTGAAGAAAAAAACGGTCTCTCTGTGGGTATGATAAAGGATGGGCCTGTCCCCAGGACCCTGTGAGAGGGAAGCCCAATGTCCCACCAGGTTGGCAGGGCTGGGGAAGGGAAAGTGTTATGGCAGCCCCAAGAAAAAAAAGAGGCAGCAGAGGGAGCAGGACAGCGCTCACATGGAACTCATGCCACTGCCTGAGGGGAGGGAGGAGTGCACGCCAGTGACGTCAGGGGGCAGAGAGGCGCAGTTCCAGGGCGGCTTTCCCCCTCACTTCCTGCCATGTTACTCTGATCGCCTCCAGGTGAGCCTGCCCACTTTGTGCCCAGGGGCCTGTAGAAAACCACAGCTCCCCATGGTTATGGCCCCAGGAGTGGGGCAGAGCAGGGAGGAGTCCTGCACAGAGGAGAGGCAGGGGCAGGAGGGAGTGGGCCTCAAACTCCAGGAGGGGGCCCTTCTCATGGGTCCTGCTTTCTGGCTTCTCCTTCCTTACCCCTGGGCTGATCACTTGGGGAAGAACTGAGACAAAGTTTCTCACCCTCAGGCCCAAAGGGTTTAATTACTGGGCCCTTAGGGAGGTGTGAGCCCCCTGAAAGGATGCAAGGTTTTGTTTTGTTTTGTTTTTTGAGACAGAGTTTCGCTCCTGTCGCCCAGGCTGGAGTGCAGTGGTGTGATCTCACCACACTACAACCTGCGCCTCCCAGGTTCAAGTGATTCTCCTGCCTCAGCCTCTGGAGTAGCTGGGATTACAGGTGGCTGCCACCACGCCTGGCTAATTTTTTGTATTTTTAGTAGAGACAGGGTTTCGCCATGTTGGGCAGGCTGGTCTTGAACTCCTGACCTCAGGTGATCCGACTGGCTCCGCCTCCCAAAGTTCTGGGATCACATCAGCCACTGTGCTTGGCCACGATGAAAGGTTTTGTGTGGAGAGCATGTACATGCCTTTCTGGGAAAACAGTCCACAGCTCTTATTCTCAGCAGGCTTCACGGTGAAAAAAGGTTAGAACTCTTGCTACAGAGCTGTGGAAGCAGCCAGGTGAGGGGCCTGCCAAGGGCACTCTGGGCACTACCTGGGCACTCTCGAGCCCATCATCCCCTAGGCAGGCTGCACTGCTTGGTATTTGCAGAGCTGAGGGGGTGGGGCATGTGGGGACTGTGAAATCGCCCTGAGATGACCCACAGTCCTCAGCTAGGAAGTGAGCGCTGCATCTCCTGCAGCGTCCTCCATCCCTAGAGCCATGGGGCCAGGAGAACCGGCCCTTGCAGCAAGTGAAAAGCCTATTATTGATTCCCTCCCTAGCCATGTAGACAGTGAACCACGACACTCATATCAGGTAAATGCCTTGTTCTCTGTTACCAAGGTAACCAGTAGGCATTCCCAGATACAGCGAAGGTCCTCACACCAAGACATGCACCTGGCCACCTGAGGAAAGAGAAAGGACTATCTGAGGGGATGGGGCTGAGCTGGGTGTGGAGTGGTCCTTGTGGGTCTTGGAGAGTGGGAGGGGGAGCAGCATGAGCCAGGCCTCGAGGCAGAAGGACAACCAGGAGACAGCCTGGAAAAAGTGCTGGACCCACAAGGGCTCAAGGCTGGCCAGAGGGGAGGTGGGATAGGCTGTAAAGTCCTGAGGTCTGAAGATTGGCCCTGGCAGGAAGAAACCAGGTAAGGTGGGGTGTTACCTACACCCTCAGGGCCAGATGCAGGCCAGAGCCAGCCAATTACCAGGCCCTTAGGGAGGTGTGAGCCCCTTGAAATGATGCAAGGTTTTTTGTTTTTGTTTTGGAGACGGAGTTTCGCTCTTGTCACACAGGCTGGCACCTTTGCCCAGAGCAGGCACCAAGACTTCTGGCTCTGGGTGTGACCTCAGTCTGGGTAAAAGCCCCAGCCCCCACCAGCACCACCTACCCCCTAGACTACTTCAGGTGCTGAGCCCAAGCCAGGGGCAGGAAGCTAAACTGATGCCTAGGGTAATCCCAACAAAGTCCCTGGTTCCCCGCAGCTATGGGGCTGACGGGGAATTACAGCCCAAACCCCAGATGCTGGCTCTCAAACTAACACTGAGCCCTCAGTGCCCACAGGGAGATACAATCAGCGCACTTTCCAGATGGGGAAATGGGATCAGAGAAGTGCAACAGCCTTGCCCAATGCCCCAGACCAGGGCTCCAGGCCCAGAGTGTTCTTTTGTCACTGTGTTCAGAGGGCAGCAGCTGCTGTGATGTACCCACCTGAGCCTGGCAGCTTTCTCCAACTTTGGAAGCCCAGGAGCATGGCCCCTGTCCACAGATGCACCTGGCATGAGGCGTGCCCAGAGGGACAGAGGCAGATGAGTTTCGTCTCCTCCACTGGATTGTGAGGGCCTAGAAGCAGACAAGGGTCAGCTTGAGAAGGCAGTGAACAGCGAGCAGCCTGAGGCAGTGCCCCTCTGGATGGATGCGCAGTGCCTGGATGGAACCTGGCTCAGACAGAGCTCAGTTCTGCAGGTCCCTGAGGCATGGAGAGTTCACAGCTACCAAGTGTAGGAGTCTGGATTCAAAGCCAATGGCGTCACTCCAAAGTCCCTGCCCTAGCCCCTGGACCACCCTTGCAGGCCCATCAGATGCCCAGGCCAGCAGCACAGCCGGCCAAGACCAGGGAAACTTGGGGAGCCTCAGAGCACCCCCAGGTATTCCAACCTAACCCTGGTGCCCCGCCTCTCACCACCCTTCTTCCTGCTTTAACCTCAACCCTACACAAAGCCTGGGCCACTTAATGTGGCATCAAACAGACGCCTCAATAAATCAGTCTAATCTCGAAAAAAAAAAGACTTAACAGATATACAATTGCACGTTAGAATGCTAAAGACCATAAACATAGAACAACTTAAAGTACATATAAATTCAACATATATCCAATCATTGTAACTATGACACAGTAGAATATTAAAATACTATTTTCAAAATGTATACAAGCTTAATGTTCTATGTATTCAAACTATTTATTCAAAATACAAATCATCAACATAAATTGCCACTAATATTCAGTCCCTTCACAGGACATGATTCACTGGGAGTTAATCAATTAGCAGCCGGCAGGCAGTGACACACCACAAAAATGAAAACCAAGAGGTGAAATAGTTCTGAAATAAAGGTTTTAAAGCTAACAGAAATCACTGAATTACTAAGTCATTAGCACTAATTTTGAGCCAACTAACTAATTAATATGAGATGATACAATGTCCTATACTTTGGTAAATACAGACTATGTTTAAACAATGTCTGTAACGTGACTTGTAAAATGCTCCTGGCTTTACAAAGATGTGATTAAGATGTAGTAACACATGCTAAACCATTTCCCCCTGCAGAGCATGTGGTAACTTTCATCAGTCACACTGAGAGTCCAGAAGATAAAGGAAAAGGTCATGGATTTCGCTGAGAACTTACCAGAGTTGAACTCCCTCATTTTCCGTTCCCCAGCATTGGCGGGTTCTGGGACTGGTGGCTGTGGTGGCTCGTTGGTCTTTGTCTCTTAGAAGGTGGGGAATAATCATCATCTTGAAAAAGAAAAAATGGTCATTACTGAAGGAACCATCTTAGGTTACAGCCACCTCTGGGTCAATTCCCAACATTCAAAAGCTGAGCAGGGCTTTAAAGCTATCTTATTAATAATTATTTCTGTATTGCGAACTTCAGCATACTTTTTTCTAGTTACATTTGAAATGTTATTCTTTTGGGATGTGCTCAAGTGAGTACTGCTTTTTCCTCTGCCTTGCTTCATTACTTTTTAGTTTCCTTCATTTGAATCATCATTGTAAGTCTCCCCTTCTCCTCAAATAACTTTCAAATTGCTGCCAAGAACTATGTTCTATCTTAAGGCTTTTGAGAAAAAACTTTCAATGAAGATAGCCACCTAAAGTTATACAAATATAGAAGAAACGGGATAAAATAAAGCTTAGATTGGAAAAAATATTTAAGATTCTACAAAATTCACGCGTAAACAAGGGAAGCTGAGTAATTGTATGTTCAAATACTTTTAACAAGTGCAAAACATGTAGGCTTAAAGAAATAGAGCTGGCCAGGCATGGTGGTTCACGCCTGTAATTCCAACAGTTTGGGAGGCCGAGGCAGGCAGATAACTTGAGGTCAGGAATTCGAGACCAGCCTGGCCAACAGAGTGAAACCCTCTCTCTACTAAAAATACAAAAATTAGGCCAGGAGTGATGGCTCATGCCTGTGATCCCAGCACTTTGAGAGGCCGAGGCGGGTAGATCACCTGAGGTCAGGAGTTTGAGACCAGCCTAACCAACATAGGGAAACCCCGTCTCTACTAAAACTACAACATTAGCCGGGTGTGGTGGCACATGCCTGTAATCCCAGCTACTCGGGAGGCTGAGGCAGGAGAATCCCTTGAACCCAAAAGGCAAAGATTGTGGTGAGCCGAGATTGTGCCATTGCACTCCAGCCTGGGCAAAAACAGCGAAACTCCGTCTCAAAAAAAAAAAAAAGAAAAAATTAGCCAGGCATGGTGAAGTTGCGGTGAGCTGAGACTGCACCATTGCACTCCAGCCTGGGTAGTAGAGCAAGACCCTGTCTCAAAAAAAAAAAAAAAAAAAAAAAAAAAAAAAGAGAGAGAGAGAAAGAAAGAAAGAGGGCTACATTATTTATGAAACAGATACTGTTAACTCAGTCACCAGAAAGCCTGTGTATAAATGAGCAGTGAGATATTCAAGCACAGCACACACACACTTCTCAGGACAGCTGTCGTGAGTGTTCCATGCTCGTTTCCTTCTGGATACATCAGCAACTCACTCTGCTATGATCCTGCAATACATCTCATGTTAGAATTAGAGACATCTGGGCCAGGCACAGTGGCTGACGCCTGTAATCCTAACACTTTGGGAAGCCGAGGCAGGCAGATCACCTAAGGTCAGGAGTTCGAGACCAGCCTGGCCAACATGGTGAAATGCTGTCTCTACCAAAAATACAAAAAATTAGCTGGGCATGGTGGCGCGCGCCTGTAATCCCAGCTACTCGGGAGCCTGAGGCAGGAGAATCGCTTGAACCCAGGAGGTGGAGGTTGCAGTGAGCCGAGATCGTGCCACTGCACTCCAGCATGGGGGACGGAGCAAGGCTCTGTCAAAAAAAAAAAAACAGAAAAAGAAAAAGAAAAAAGAATTAGAGACATCTGGATCAAATCAGCTGCCAGTCTCGCAAAGTGTCGGGTAACATCCTATTAAGCTTGCTGCTTACACATCATCTATAAAATACTGAAAATATCATTTTAAGAAATCTTTTTTTTATTTTGAGACAGAGTTTTGCTCGTTGCCCAGGCTGGAGTGCAATGGTGCGATCTCAGCTCACTGCAATCTCTGCCCCCTGGGTTCAAGCAATTCTCCTTCCTCAGCCTCCTGAGTAGCTGGGATTACAGGCATGCACCACCACGCCTGGCTAATTTTGTATTTTCAGTTGAGACAGGGTTTCTCCATATTGGTCAGGCTGGTCTCGAACTCCTGACCTCAGGTGATCCACTGACCTTGGCCTCCCAAAGTGCTGGGATTACAGGTGTGAGCCACCATGCCTAGCCAAGAAACCCTTATTTTAAAACAAGCCAGGCGCGGTGGCTCATGCCTATAATCCCAGCACTTTGGGAAGCCAAGGCAGGTGGATCACTTGACGTCAGTAGTTTGAGACCAGCCCGGGCAACATGTTGTAACCCCATCTCTACTAAAAATATATTTTAAAAATTAGCTGGGCATGGTGGTGGGCACCTGTAATCCCAGCTTCTCAGGAGGCTGAGGCAGGAGAACCACTTGAACCTGGGAGGTGGAGGTTGCAGTGAGCGGAGATCATGCCACTGCACTCTAGCCTGGGTGACAATAGAAAGACTCCATCTCAAAAACAAAACAAAACAAAACAAAACAAAAAACCACTAAAAAAAAGACTCCATTTCAAAAACAAAACTAAAACCAAAAACACAACACAAATGTAGTACACAAATGAAAATAATTACTGTGTTAAACACAGTTTCATAGAAAATAAAAGACCAATCAAATACAATAAGCTGCCTTTTTAGATGGGTATGTTATTCTTCTTTCACAGCTAAAGAAACAGGCTCAGAGAATGTTATTTGATTGGACCGTGTTGCATTTCTGGACAGTGCAGCTGAGATCAGACTTTGTGTGTAACTCCACTAGCCTACCAGGGTGCCTCTCATAAAGGTAAGAAATGTAAATTTGGCCTAATATACAAAGTTGCCAGGGCAGCACTGGGTCAATTCTACATACAGTACTTCTATGTTCATCAAGGGAAACCTTAAGGGAAAGTGAAAATGCTTCTAGAAGGCGACTGGACACCAGCGCCTTTGCTTGTTGCCTTTGGGCTCTTCTTCTAAGGCCAACAGTGACCTGAAATTATTGACTGGCTTTTCCAATCAAGTGGACAAAATGGTACCAAGGTCGCCAACATCGATGTAGAACATCGATGTTCTACAACATTGCTTAACGCAAGGGGAGACGCTCCTGACTCAGAGTGTTTAATTGCTCACCTACTTCTTTTTCTGCCCTCTTGGGCTTCTGAAATGAAAAGAACCCTGGGGTGATACAGTGAGTCAAAGGGGTGCCAGCCGCATCACAGCAAAATAGATTCCTAAAAAATCCCTGGCCTAAGATGACAGCCTTGGCTGGATCAGTTTGAATGTGCTGATAGTGGACATGGTAGAATGAAGGTGGTTGAAATGTTCATATTAAAGAACTTCCACCCAGATTGCAAGAAAAGAGAGAAGAATGGAGACGGCAGCACAAGCCCCTACAATAAAAGCAGATGTTTTGAGATCAGTTATATTTCTTCTGACAAAAATTAAAGACAGAAACCAAAGTTTAGCCTGAGACTACAATTAATTGGGCAATAAGCCAGAGGCACATATGGCATAAGACAGATTTAAACATTTCTCCCTGATATTAATACAAACACTAAAATTACAAATACATGGATTCCAAATAAAACAAATATTTAAAAAATTTAATGAATAAACACTGGGGTCTACAGTAGTATTTGAAGGAGATCTCACAAACAGGTTTGGTTTTTGAAGGTTAGAACTGGTGGTCTAGAGAATTCATTTCATTCCAGAGAAAGAAAGAGAGGAATTTCTTGGGTTCCTTCAGGAATGCGTCTAGCTTTGCCTCATCTTTGTTTGAACTATGGATACGGCAGAAGAAAACATAAGGATTTCACAGATTTAAGTTGCAAAAAGTCACTGGGTTCTCTAAGAAGTCTGGGATTCTTCTGCTGGAAAAATAAGTTTGTTGAGAAAAAATGAGTTGGAGGAGGCTGTTATTGAAGTGAAGCAGAATTGTTTTTACTAATCTGCTTATTACCCACTCTGTAGTGTGGAAACAAATTATTCATGCACAAGGTCCTCTTACTGTTCCTAGAATGCAGTGGAAAGAGAACAGATTAGTTTTCCTCCCTCAGAACACAACCCCTAGAAACATCCTACCTCAGATGAGATATTGCCTAATTATTTTCAAAAGACAGTGAAACATCATGGATGTAAATGTTTGCTACAAAATAAATACATGCTAGAAACAGAAGCATCTGGGTCACAGCTATATTAGAGCTACCTGTGTTCCCCTGTCACTGACATTAAAACAAAAATGTCCAATACAATCATTCACAGCGTGGGAGAGGGGAAGTTGAAGGATGGAAAGGCCAGGCATAAAAGGATTTCAGAATTTCCGTCCATAAGGAAGTGGCTTTGTGCACTGTCTGTTACTGCGTGCAAGGTGAAATTTGAAGAATGAAAACGTGCAGTAACAAGGGCTCCTTTGTCCAACTCACCTCTCCAGATACCAAGTTTCAGACATGTTGCATTTGAATTGAAAGGTTGATATAATTTTTTTAAAAGAACACTTGCGGTGTTTGAAGTGACAAAGGCTGCTGTGACAAAAAAGCAGGGAAAGGGAATTTTTTTTTTAAAAGCAAACAACAACAACAAAAACCCCACAGAAAAGCAAACAACAAACAAACAAAAAACAGAGGAAGAAGTTGAACACCCCGGGCTGTGACTACTTCCAGGAAGGGGCTACAAGAGGCAGTTGGAAATTCTATTTGTTTTGCAACTGTGGGTTTTCCGGCCTGCTTCCTTTCTAAAGTATATTACTCTGCTTTTGGTTCATGAAGTTATCCATTTCTGTTTTCTGGAACAGCTATGTATTTTCTTTATCTATCATCTATCTATCCATTTACCATCTATCTTTTCTACCTTTCGCTATCAAGAGCTTGTGTCAAGCAGGATAGAATTCCAGTGTATGTTCACTCTACCGTTTAAAACAAGAGCTCTTGTGGGCATTCTCCATCACATCATAAACCTGAGCTTTCTAAAACAGAGTGTGGCAAACTACCATGCATGGACCATGTCTGACACAGTCTGCGTTTGTAAGTAAAGTTGTAATGGGACACAGCCAATACATGTGTTACATAATGTCTCTGGCTACTTTCATGGTATAATGGAAGAGCTGAGTCATTGAGAGAGAGACCATATGGCTTGGAAAACTTAAAATATTTAACATTTAGCCCCTTGCAGAAAATACTTGCTGACTCTTGTTTTAAAAGATCTCTGTTTAGAATGCTACCTATTGCGTTCTGGATAGAATCACAACTCTTTACCACAATTGACACAGCTTCAGCCCTGCTTCTATATCCAGCCTCATCTATTTCTGCTCCTCCTCCTTATTTTCCTTCTGGCCATGCTGATGGATTGTCAGCTTCCCAGATGTGCAAGAATCTCTCCTCCCTTCCCAACATTCTCATGCTCTCCCTCTGCCTCTCAAGAACTTCCTGCCCCATCTCTCATGACAAATCCTTTCTACATTCTTTAAGATGCAGCCCCTTTGCTCCTTCCTTAAGGATGTCTGTCTGGCTCTATTTTGGGTGACGTGCTCCTTCTGCATCTCCCAGAGCCAGCCTGTGTGTGTCAGCTACAACATTTCTTTGCATCTCTGTGTCATATATCACCAAATCTGCCTAAGCTTGCATGAGTCACTGCATGACAACTTCAGACTCCACCAGCATTGTCCCCACTAACCACAAGGCTTAGACATTCGTCCAGTATGCTCGGGGTTGTGGGGTGGTAGCAGTAACCAGCTGGTGACCATCATTTCTTACATCAGAATCAAATCTGTAGATCTCTGCCATTCGTAAGTATTTGGAGTTTAAAATTAGCATAAAGATTTTCCTTAAAATAAGAACAAATGGCTTGAGTAGGCTTTTGGAACATAGGATGTTTCCACTGGTTCATTTCTGTGTTCAATATTCCCACATGAATCTAAACACGACTCTGCTCTTAGTAGCTATGTGACCCTGGGAAAGTCACTCAATCTCCCGCAGCTAAATTTTGTTGTGTGAGTAATGAGGAGTTGTGATTTGTATTTAGAGAATAATAACAAACAAAAGGCATTTAGCTTTCTGGAACCTGGTATGTAGTAGAACCTCATGAAATACTAGCTCTGTTGATAAAACTAGACTGAAAGAAGCTTTCAAAGTCAACAACAGTTTGAGGCAGTGAAGGACGTAGAGGAGAAGCTGCTGCTGCAGCCTGTAGCTCCTGGAAGCCCGTTTAGTCCATGATTTAGCAGGAATGCATTACCCTTCCATGAGGAGGCACTGCCCACAGAAACCAACGCCATTCTTTGAAGACAAACATGTCTTAATAGCCTTTACATTATGTAATAGTGTAATACAAATAATAATTTATTATTAGTAATAATGTGAAATTATTTACAGTACCCTAACCCTAAACCTAACCCTAATCCTAACCCTAACCCTAACCCTAACACCCTAACCCTAAAACCCTAACCCTAACCCTAACCCTAATCCTAACCCTAATCCTTACCCTTACCCTTACCCTGACCCTAACCCTAATCCTTACCCTTATCCTACCCCTAACCCTTAACCCCTAACCCCTAACCCTAACCCTTAACCCAAACCATAACCCTAAAACGCTAACCCTAACCCTCACCCTCACCCCTCACCCCTCACCCAAACCATAATCCCTAACCCCTAACTCTTAACCCCTAACCCTAACCCTTGACCCTAACCCTTGACCCAAACCCCTGACCCTGACCCTTAACCCTTAACCCTAACCCTAACCCTTAACCCTAACCCTAACCCTAACCCCTAAACCTAACCCTTAACCTTCATCCTCACCCTCACCCACACCCCTAACCCTAACCCTAACCCTAACCCTAACCCTAACCCCTGACCCTGACCCTTAACCCTTAACCCTAACCCTAACCCTTAACCCTAACCCTAACCCTAACCCCTAAACCTAACCCTTAACCTTCATCCTCACCCTCACCCACACCCCTAACCCTAACCCTAACCCTAACCCTAACCCTAACCCTAACCCTAACCCTAACCCTAACCTTCATCCTCACCCTCACCCACATCCCTAACCCTAACCCTAACCCTAACCCTAACCCCTAACCCTAACCCTCACCCTCACCCCTCACCCCTCACCCAAACCATAATCCCTAAGCCTTAACTCTTAACCCCTAACCCTAACACTTGACCCTAACCCTTGACCCAAACCCCTGACCCTGACCCTGACCCTTAACCCTTAACCCTAACCCCTAACCCTAACCCTAACCCTAACCCTTAACCCTAACCCTAACCCTAACCCCTAACCCTTAACCTTCATCCTCACCCTCACCCACACCCCTAACCCTAACCCCTAACCCCTAACCCAAACCCGAACCCTAAACCCTAACACTAAACCCAACCAGAAACCTAACCTGAACCCTAACCCGAACCATAAACCTGAACCCTAAACCCGAACCCTAACCCTAACCCTAACCCTAACCCTAACCCTAACCCGAACCCTAACCCTAACCCAACCCTAACCCTAACCCTAACCCTAAACCCTAACACTAAACCCAACCAGAACCCTAACCTGAACCCTAACCCGAACCATAAACCTGAACCCTAAACCCGAACCCTAACCCTAACCCTAACCCTAATCCTTACCCTAACCCTAACCCTAACCCTAACCCTACCCTTATCCTACCCCTAACCCTTAACCCCTAACCCCTAACCCTAACCCTTAACCCTAACCATAACCCTAAAACGCTAACCCTAACCCTCACCCTCACCCCTCACCCCTCACCCAAACCATAATCCCTAACCCCTAACTCTTAACCCCTAACCCTAACCCTTGACCCAAACCCCTGACCCTGACCCTTAACCCTTAATCCTTAACCCTAACCCCTAACCCTAACCCTAACCCTAACCCCTAACCCTAACCCTTAACCTTCATCCTCACCCTCACCCACACCCCTAACCCTAACCCCTAACCCAAACCCGAACCCTAAACCCTAACACTAAACCCAACCAGAACCCTAACCTGAACCCTAACCCGAACCATAAACCTGAACCCTAAACCCGAACCCTAACCATAACCCAAACCCGAACCCGAACCCTAACCCCTAACCCCTAACCCTAACCCTACCCTAACCCAACCCTAACCCAACCCTAACTCTAGCCCTAGCCCTAGCCCTAGCCCTAAGCCCTAAGCCTAACCCCAACCCCAACCCCAACCCTAACCCTAACCCTTCCTCAGCCTCTCAACCTGCTTGGGTTACAGGTATGAGCCCGGGTGCCTGGCCAAACATTCCATTTTATATGTATATGCTAGGAATGAATAATCTCTAAACCAAATTATGAAAATTCTACCTTAAATAATACCAATAGCAATATTATACTTAGGAATAAATGGAATGAAACGACAAGACTTAGATGAGGGAAATTATAAGACATTACTTAAGGAAATTAAACTTCCAATAAATGTAAAAATGTATCTTATTTGTGGATTTGTAGACCACATTGTTAAGTTTCCCAAAGTACACAAAGCAATCCGTGGATTCGATGTTATTCCTACAAAAATCCCAAAGGCCTTGGGACAGAAGTGGATAAGCTGATCCTGATCACATCCCAATTTCAAATTTTATTACAAAGGAACAGTAATAAAAACAGTGGGATCCTTGCACAGGAATAAACAGAAAGATCAACTGAATTGAATTGGGAGTCCAGACAGAAAACAATACCTCTATGCTCAACTGATTTTAGACAAGGTCCATTACCAGTAAATTGGGGAAAGAATCCTGTCCTCAACAAGTGATGTAAGGCAACTTGCTATCCACATAAAGGGAAATGAAATTGTATCCTTACCTCATACCACATAAAAAATTAACTTACAATGGATCAAAGACCAAAACAGGTGAAAACTAAAAACTCTGGAAGAAAACGTACAGTTAAGCATTCATGACCTTACACATAGCAATAGTTTCCTACATCTGACACCAAAAGCACAGACCACAAAAGGAAAAATAAATCAATTTATTTCCTCAAAATTCACAACTTTTATGTCTCAGAAGACATGAAGAAAAAAGTTGAAAGACAAAATGTTATAATAGGAAAAACAACTGTCTTATAGTATACTCTCAACACTCAACACAGAACACTTCTGTTACCAGATACATGGGTTTTTTCCCCACACAGACCAAATCTTGGGTACCAGCTGGGTGTCCTACAGTGCAATCCAATTGTGACAGTAAATGGAGAAAGCATCAGACCCCACAGGCTAAGGGCTCAGTCCTAGGAATACACGTCATGCCCCTTGTTGCTTGCAAATTTAAATGACAAACACAAGGATGGTAAAAAGAAAGTGACTTTATGCCAGAGCTTAGCTGAAGGGAACATACAGGCTCTTGCCTTAAGGGAAGCGCTTCCACTTTCTGGGCAGAAAGCGGGGCTTCGGACTTGCCAGAATGGCATGCAGGGGATGAGGTGAGGAGGTGCGGGGTCTATGGGACATGCTCTGATGTTTTCTCCATTAGGTGGTCTTGCTAGCACCACCACGGGCAGAGCCAGGTTGTAAATTGACTGTTGTCTGCTGCCAATCTCCTGGTGGGGGAGAGATAGGGAAGTGCCAGTTTGTTTCAAGGTTTGGTCCCTGGAACTTACAAGTAATCACACAGTTGGAAAAGTTTGCAGTATAGGAAGTGTCTGGTGGAGAGACAGTAAAGCTTATAATTGCATTCCTAAAGAGCTAAATGCAGGAACAGCAAAATGGTAAAACTAATTCATTTCTTCTTTAAGAAAATATGGGTACTCAGTTACAAGACTGTAACCACTTAAGATGCCAACCACAAACAGTAGGTTCCCAGGTTACCTTCTGTCTGACTTTGCTACAGATTGGAGGCTCCCACAATACCCTTATTGGGTTCAGCAATTTGCTACATAACATTACACAACCCATGAAAGCAGTGTACTTACTATTCCTGACTCATTACCAAGGATCTTTTAAATGCTACAAATGAAAAGCCAGATGAAGAGATGCACAAGGTGAGGTATATGGAAGGAATGCAGGCCTCCCATGCCCTCGCCAGATATGATCCTCCCAGTATCTCCTGTGTTGGGAGAGCAACACAGATGCTCTCCCAACCCTGTCCTTTATTACACAGGCAGATTGGTTACGTCTGTGGCCATAGGTGATCAACTCAACCATCAGCACCTCTCCCCTTCACAGAGACGGGACGGGGGAAGAAATTTCAAATCCTCTCATGACAAGGTTGCTTCCCTTGGCAGCCAGACCCACTGAGGCTGTCCAGGTGCCCCCAGCCATCAATCATTTCATTAGCATACGAAAGACACATTACTTCGTACATTCCCAAGGCTTAGCGCTCTGTTTCAGGACACTGCAGCAGAGACCACACATTAACTCTTATTACGTTCCAACAACCTATAAAATGGAAGAAAATGTCTGCACATTAGATACTTCATCAGTGTCTGTTATCCAGAATGTATAAAGAACTTTTACAACTCCATAGCAAAGACAACCCAATCTAAAAATTGACAAAAGACTTTAATACACACTTCACCAACAAGCACATGAAAAGATGCTTAGCATCATTACCATAATTAAAACCATAAAGAGATAACCCTTAACTCACACAAGAATAGTTATACTAAAAACTAACAAGTGTTGACAAAGATGTGCAGAAACTTGAACTCTTAAACACTGCTTGTGACAATATGAAATGGTGCAGCCTACGTGTGAAATAATTTGATGTTTCCTCATAAAGTTACAAATATATTTACCATATGAGTCAATAATTCCATTCCTAGGTATATACCCCAAAGACCTGAAAACAACTGTTCAAACAAAAACCTGTATGCTCTTTAAATGTGTCAAGGTCATAAATACGCAGGAAAGTCTGGGGAACAGTTCCAGGAAAAGAAAACTGGATCCTAATGAAAAAAAAAAAAATACACATTATACTCCCAAGTGTGGCATGAGGTAAAAGTGAAGTGAGTTTGTGGACCGAATTATCATGGAGGAACAATGCTGATTTCCTGATCTAGGGGTTATGTGGTAGTTACCTGGGAGAGTGTCCATGCTTTCAGTACAACATACCGGAGTATTTTGTGGGACACTGCAAATCTGGTACAGCAATAACTGTTGGGGAACCTAAGGGAAGAAACAAGTTGTACTTTGTACTACTACTGGAAGTTGCCTAGAAATATGACATTATTGGAAAATAAGTTACTTTTTAAAACAACCATGTCAATACCATGCCAGGAAAGCAGACACATCATTAAAATCCATTACAGAGGCTATAGTTCAGCCAAAGCTGTAAAACCCTTAAAAAAGTCTCAATGTCAACAGAGTCCACTTAGTAGATATGATTATATTTATTGGTATTAGAGGCCACTGTGTCAATATATTACTGTTAGGGCATGCTATGGATATTTAGATTAGTGTTAGGGAATGGTGTGGATATTGTATCGGTGTTGGGGAATGGTGCAGATATTACATTAGTGTTAGGGCATGGTGTGGATATTATTACATTAGTATTAGAAGCGATGGTGTGGATTAGATCAGTGATAGGGCATGGTGTGGATATTATTACATTAGTATTGGAAGCGATGGTGTGGACTAGATCAGTGATAGGGCATGGTGTGGATATTATTACATTAGTATTGGAAGCGATGGTGTGGACTAGATCTGTGATCGGGCATGGTGTGGATATTACTACATTAGTATTGGAAGCGATGGTGTGGACTAGATCAGTGATAGGGCATGGTGTGGATATTACTACATTAGTATTGGAAGCCATGGTGTGGATTAGATCACTGATAGGGCATGGTGTGGATATTATCACATTAGTATTGGAAGTGATGGTGTGGACTAGATCAGTGATAGGGCATGGTGTGGATATTACTACATTAGTATTGGAAGCGATGGTGTGGACTAGATCAGTGTTAGGGCATGGTGTGGATATTATTACATTAGTATTGGAAGCGATGGTGTGGACTAGATCAGTGATAGGGCATGGTGTGGATATTACTACATTACTATTGGAAGCGATGGTGTGGACTAGATCAGTGATAGGGCATGGTGTGGATATTATTACATTAGTATTGGAAGCGATGGTGTGGAGTACATCAGTGTTAGGGCATGGTGTGGATATTATTACATTAGTATTGGAAGCGATGGTGTGGATTAGATCAGTGATAGGGCATGGTGTGGATATTATTACATTAGTATTGGAAGCGATGGTGTGGACTAGATCAGTGATAGGGCATGCTGTGGATATTATTACATTAGTATTGGAAGCGATGGTGTGGATTAGATCAGTGATAGGGCATGCTGTGGATATTATTACATTAGTATTGGAAGCGATGGTGTGGACTAGATCAGTGATAGGGCATGCTGTGGATATTATTACATTAGTATTGGAAGCGATGGTGTGGACTAGATCAGTGATAGGGCATGCTGTGGATATTATTACATTAGTATTGGAAGTGATGGTGTGGACTAGATCAGTGATAGGGCATGGTGTGGATATTATTACATTAGTATTGGAAGCGATGGTGTGGACTAGATCATTGATAGGGCATGGTGCGAATATTATATGGGTGTTAGGGCACAGTGTGGATATTATTACATTAATATTGGAAGCGATGGTGTGGATTACATCAGTGTTAGGGCATGGTGTGGATATTATTACATTAGTATTGGAAGCGATGGTGTGGATTACATCAGTGTTAGGGCATGGTGTGGATATTATTACATTAGTTTTGGAAGCGATGGTGTGGATTACATCAGTGTTAGGGCATGGTGTGAATATTATATAGGTGTTAGGACACGGTGTGGATATCATAGTAATGTAGGGCACAGTGTGATTATTATATTAGAGGCCACTGTAAGAATATATATTAACAGCCACTGTGTCTTGGACGTTGACAATGATATTAGGGTGTACTCCAAACAGTGAGATTTGGGGGTTTTATTTTTCTAGATGAATTTCTTCCTCTGCTGAGTACTCTAAAGACTCACTCCTTGGCACTCAGGGCCGTGGACAGGAGCTTTTTACTCACCAATGAAGAACACCAAGTTAACACGACCCTCGTGCTGCCCTGAGGAAGCTGAAGCTCCTCGCTGCTTCTGGCACCTCAGCGGGAAGTTGGTTGGGGCGGGATCGCGCGCCCTCTGGTGGCGCCATGGTTCAGCACAGACGCTCTTGCTCACAGTTTCTCGGCGGATGTGCGCCCCCTCCTGGCTGTCCTGAAATACCTATAAAATTCAATATTCAGTTTATTCAGTGTCATAATTTTGGAAATTCAAACCGAAATAAAGGCCAGTATATCCATACCCTTCCCATAAATGGTGATGGAAGAATTATTTGGAAGCCATATAGAATGAAATGACTCTATACACAAATTAAAACACAAAAACCTACTCAAAATACTCCAGAGACTACAACTTCAATTGCAAAACTATAAATAACCTAAAAGAAAACCTAAGAGACATTGGATCTGGTGTTGAGTTTTTACACACAGCATCAAGTGCCAATTCGTGAAAATACTGAGAACAGACTTTATAAAACTAAATTTTCTACTATGAAAAACCCTATTCAGAGAACAAAAAGACAAGACACACTGTCAGAAGATATTTACAAAATACAAACGTGATTTTAAAAACTGTATTGAAAATACACAAAGAACTCTTCAAACGAACACTAAGAAAACTAAAAACCCAAATAAAACTGGGTAAATATCTGAACAGACATCCAGCCAAATAAAATATATAGATAGCAGGCCAGGTGTGGTGGCTCATGCCTATAACCCCAGCACTTTGGGAGGCTGAGGCGGGTGAGTCACCTGAGGTCAGGAATTTGAGATCAGCCTGGCCAACATAGTGATACCCCCTCTCTACTAAAAATACAAAAAAATTAGCCAGGCATGGTGGTGGGTGCCTGTAATCCCAGCTACTTGGGAGGCTGATGCAAGAGAATTGCTTGAACATTGGAGGTAGAGGTTGCAGTGACCCAAGATCACGCCACTGCACTCCAGCCTGAGTGACAGAACGAGACTCTATCTCAATAAAAAAAAAAGAAAAAAGAAAAAAAAGAAAATATACAGATAGCACATAATCACACAAAAGGATGCTCAATATATCTCATTAGGAGACTGCAAATTAAAATAATGCTGAGATATCACTGCACACCTAGTACAACTGTGGGACTCTTAAAAAAGCTCAACAGTAAAAATTGGAGGTTGAAGAACAATAGGTACGGCCATTCATTACTGGCAGAATGCATGAATGGGTACAGCCACTTTGGGAAATAGTTTGACAGTTTTTCCCAAAGATAAACAAGTCTTACCTTACAATCCAACAAATGCACCCCTAAATTGTGTATGTTTAGACAGCTGCTTTGAAAAATTATGTTCAAACAAAAACTAGCATGTAATTATATACGAGCCACTCTACTCATAATGGCCAAAACTTGAAGTAATCAGAACGTTCTTCAATAGCTGAATGCATAATCAATTTGAAGTACAACCATGCAATGGAATACCATTCACCAACAGAAAGGAATGAACTGTCAATCCATGAAAACAAATGAATGAATCTTGCATCTATGTTGCTAAGTAAAGGGTGGCAGTATGAAGATGCTATACATTATATGACTCCATTCATATAACATTCTGGAAAAAGCACAACCAAAGAGATGATAGTCAGATCAGTGACTGTCTGGGGTGGGGATTTGAAGTATTCTGTATGCTACTTCAGTAGTGGATATCTGACACTATGCATTTGATAAAACCCACAGAATTTTAATGCACAAAGAACAAATCACAACCTACACAAATTAAATTATTTAGGATGTGGAAGTATCTAAGGACAAAATACAGAGTGCAACCAAGAATCTAACTGTATTACCAATGTATGTTGCAAGTGGTGGGCCAAAGGTGCTGAGCTGGAAATGAGTAGAATCCATAGACTAAAAACAAAACGTACTATATACACGAACAGTGGACTCTATTTTATAAAGTTATTTCCCATAGGGATAATAGTTAATTTTGAAACTACTATATCTGTAAAAAGAAAAATAACCATGATTTTCCTCTATACTATCAACACTCCACTTTTAACAGCAAATTGTGGGGGGTGGGGGGTGTTTCCCATACCAACCAATATTCCAACTCTCTGGAAAACAATTGGGTATCCTGTAATTCAACTGTGACACTGATTACCTGGAGTTAGTATACACCCTACAGGTTAAGGGCTTAGTAACACCAGACTGTCCACAACCTCAGATGCCAATCACAAGTAGTGAATCCCCAGTTTACCCAAACTTCTATATGACTTGGCTAGAAACTAGGCATTCCTACACCCCCTCTTCAGGTTTGACAATTTGCTATGATGGCTTATGGAACTAGGAAATACTTACTTATGTTTACTAGTTATTATGGTCTCAATGTGTGTACACCCCCACCCCAAATTCCTATTTTGAAATGTAATCCCCAAAGGGATGGTATTCAGAGGTAACCGAGAGGTGATCGGATCATGAGAGTGCTGTCCTCATGAATGAAACCAGTGCCCTTATAAAAGCATCTAGGAGCCCGTTTCCCCATTCTGCCATGTCACGACATGCTAGAAGGCACTATCTATGATAGATGAGCCCTCACTAGACATCAAATCTGTCAGCCTTGATCTGGAACTTTCCAAATTCCATATTTTAGGAATTTTTATGGAAGCTTCATCATGTAGACATGACGGATTATTAACTCAATTTCCAGTCCCTTCACACCCTCAAAGGATTGCATGTTAAGCTAAAAGTTACAACCTTCTTATCATGGCTTGGTCTTTCTGGTGACCATCCCCATCCTGAAACCACCCAGGAACCCACAGAGTGTCCTTATTAGAACAGAAGCCATTCCTATTATCCAGGAGATTCCAAGAGATTTAGGAACTCTGCGTCAGGAACCAGGGCCAAAGACCAAATATTAGAACACAAGATGCTCCTAGCACCCCTACTGTTCAGGAAATTATAATAGTTTTAGAAGCTCTGTACCAGGAACTGCAGACACAGACCAAACATATATTTCTTATTAAGTCCCAACCTGGAATCTTGATCAAGAATGAATTCCTTGTTCCCAGTGGTACAAGGGATGAAATGAATGGCAGATAGTAGGAGCCAGGTTCCTCACTATTACAGTGAGAAGTCACAGATAAAAAACAGGGAAGCCTAGAGTGGTCTCTGTCATCATGAGTCAGAATGTATACGGCAGATGGTAGGAGCCAGGTTCCTCACTATTACAGCGAGAAGTTACAGATAAAAAACAGGGAAGCCTAGAGTGGTCTCTGTCATCAGGAGTCAGAATGTATACGGCAGATGGTAGGAGCCAGGTTCCTCACTATTACAGCGAGAAGTTACAGATAAAAAACAGGGAAGCCTAGAGTGGTCTCTGTCATCAGGAGTCAGAATGTATACGGCAGATGGTAGGAGCCAGGTTCCTCACTATTACAGCGAGAAGTTACAGATAAAAAACAGGGAAGCCTAGAGTGGTCTCTGTCATCAGGAGTCAGAATGTATACGGCAGATGGTAGGAGCCAGGTTCCTCACTATTACAGTGAGAAGTTACAGATAAAAAATAGGGAAGCCTAGAGTGGTCTCTGTCATCATGAGTCAGAATATATATATACAACGTAAGTATAAACTCACATTTAGCTTAACATATACATAGATGGTTCCACATAGAAACCTTTATAATTAAGTGGGTACATATAAGTTAGAAGACACACATATATTTCTTTGCACTGTCAGCTGTAAGTGTCATGATGCAATGACCACATTTAGTGGCCAGATGTAAGTTTTTCATACCATTCTCTAACAAAAGAAATCAGGGCTATTAGAAGAAATAGCTGAAACTAGGACTGGGACAGAAAATATATGAGCCAGGGTACTTTTGAAGTAACAGAAATAAATTATAAAAAAAAAACATGAAATTATGTAAAAGAAGCCAGTGGAAAGAGCTACCAATGGCCACAGGTATGAACAAAGAGCAACAAAATACTGTACAATTAGATAACAACCAAAAGATTAAAGTAACTATCTGTGGACCCATACTGGTATAAATAAATGATTAAACAGATATGCAAATGGGCTGAATAGAAATCTCTTATACAGAAGAATTCCAAATACCTGATACAGACAGCCATCAAGGAGGTGGGGCTAACTCCCCACTCCTTTAAGTATGAGCTCTGCATGATGACTTCCTCCAAAAGCATACATACAATATAGACATGGGAAAAAAGTAACTTCACAGTGAAAAACCTGAAAACACTGCCTCAACCAAGTGATAAAAGTTAACATTAATGGTGATAACACATCTTGAGAGCGTGAAGTGACTAGACTAGCACTTGCAAACCAAAAATAAAATTCAAAGATCTTTCCCCCAACCACCTCTCCACCAGGGGACACCAAAGTTAACCTGGAAGACTGGTTCAGGCTATGATGGGAAAGAGGTGGTCAGACACGCCTCATTATGCCCTCCTCCCTTTTGGAATTCAGGAAAAGCCAATCAGCATTTAACATCAACACAACCTTAAATCTGATAAGAAACATTTACAATCTATTCTCTCTGAAGCCTGCTACCTGGAAGCTTCATTTCCATGATAAAACCTTGGTCTCCATAACCCCTTAACATAACCCAGACACTCCTTTCTATTGATAGTAAGTCTTTCAACAAACTGCCAATCAGAAAAATTTTAAATGTACCTATAACCTGGAAGCCCCCCCCCCACCCTAATCCATTGGGTTGTCCCACCTTCCTGGACCGAACCAATATATATCTTAAATACACTTGATTGATGTCTCCTATCTCCCTAAAATGTATAGAACCAACCTGCACCCCAACGACCTTGGGCACATGTTCTCAGGGTCTCCTGAGGGCTGTGTCAAGGGCCATGGTCACTCATATTTGGCTCAGAATACATCTCTTAAAATATTTTACAGTCTTTGACTCTTTTTGTGGACACACTACACATCTGCTCTGCTTCCCCCAAACCCCTAAACCCAGGCTGATTATGAGAAAAACCCCAAGTAAACCACAATGGAGGACATTCTACACAATACCTGACCGATCCTCCTAACACTGTTCCAGGTCCTCAGAAGTAAAGTCTGAGAGATTGTCACAGCCAAGAAGAGCCTGACATGATGACTAAATGTCCTATGGGATCCTAGATAGGATCCTGGGAGAGAAAAAGGCAGAACTAAGGGAAACCAAATAAGATGTGAGCTTATTTAATAATATAGTAATATCCAGTCATTAAGTATGACAAGAAATGATGTAAGATGTTGGTCAGGAGTGGTGGCTCATGCCTGTAATCCCAGCACTTTGGGAGGCTGAGGCAGGCGGATCACCTGAGATCAGGAGTTCAAGACCAGCCTGGCCAACGTGGTGAAACCTCATCTCTACTAAAAATACAAAAATTAGCCGGGCATGATGGCAGGCGCCTGTAATACCAGCTACTCAGGAGGCTGAGGCAGGAGAATCGCTTGAACCTGGGAGGCGGAGGTTGCAGTGAGCCGAGATCACGCCACTGCACTCCAGCCTGGTTGAGACTCTGTCTGAAAAAAAAAAAAAAAAAAAAAAAAGATGTTAAACCTATCTGATACATGTTGGTATGTTAAAAAGCGGGGAAACTAGGTTGCGTCTACATGGGAAATCTGCATTTTCTTCCCAATTTCTGTATGAATCTAAAACTAATTTAAAATAAAACCTCTATTTAAAAATTGTAATTTTTTCAGATATCTGCTAAATTATTTGTACTAAAAATTAGTAATTGACAGTAACTACTACTACTTTTAAAAATAAGAGCATTCATGATACTGCAAAGTAAATTATACAGACTAATATATACTTTCAAAGAAATGCCCCTTTTACATGTTTTATGTTAAGATAACATATATGTGTAAACATGGTCATATCATTTTCCTTATGGTGTAGTTCACTCTCTAAGAAAGCTGGTCATCTTAGAACCAGGGAAAAAAATTCACATTTTGGAGACTATTTCAATTTACGGCTGGACGTTTTCAAAGTATGACTTTGCGAAAAAAAAAAAAGTTCAAATTGATTCATTGTGACTGGATCACTTATTCTAATGAATGCTTGCCTTTATTTTGTTTCCCAGCATTCCTTTCAGCTACGATACAACAGAAGCAAATATTTGCCACTGGAAAAAATATTCAAAGACACTCTTAGGTTAATCTATAGCTGATGACAGTCAGTCTAGTCTACATAGCAAGCAGCTTCAAGATATGATTACTTAGCTAAGCGGGAAATGGGACGTGACTGCTGCCTCATTCCCACGCCTCTCTGGACCTGATAATTTAGAGGAAGCTCACATTCGCAAGATAAAAATTTTCTTTTCCTTCTCAGTATTAAATATGCTGTCACAATAGAAGAAAGCTTTACTGACTTCTTAAATGACGTGTTGAGACCGGAACCCTAAAATGATAGTTACTGAGGATAGTGCTAATGCCCTAAGACCGGAAACCTAAAATGATAGTTACTGAGAATAGTGCTAATGCCCTAAGACCGGAAACCTAAAATGATAGTTACTGAGAATAGTGCTAATGCCCTAAGACCGGAACCCTAAAATGATAGTTACTGAGAATACTGCTAATGCCCTAAGGTTTTAGTCACACCCTCACCTAGGCAGGAACCCAACCAAAAGGGGAGAACTGTGGAACAAACTACGGGAGGTCATTGTTTCGGTCACCACTCCCGCATTAGGCCACACTGAGCAGGCAAAACCAGAATGGAGACACTCACGCTGAATGACACACAACGAAGCTGAAACTTTAAGGAAGTAGATAGATCCCAAAAGAGCTCCCTTTTTCCCTGAAGAGATTCCAGTCTACCTGAGTCAGCATAAAGAAGTCCCCTCTGCTTTAATTCTTACCAAAACAAGTAACTTGAAGTAATCTGTTATTAACAAATCAGTTGTTATTTTCTATTGCTCTATTTCCGCCTTACACAACACAGTGTTCTGCTATTGCCCAGAGGGCACTGAGACCAAATAAAACTTGAAAATGCCACACTGAAAGCAAATAAGTCCTAATAACTCAATTTACAACGATAACAAAGAGTGACACCAATGCCCAAAGTTTTGATCAATATCTCAAAATTGAGAGGCTGACCAAAAGGGAGGAATTCTTACATCAAACAACATTTGGGCTCTAGAAGCCTCCCAAGGAGTCCTTGTAAAGAGTCGCGGCCGGGCGCCGTGGCTCACGCCTGTAATCCCGGCACTTTGGGAGGCCGAGACGGGTGGATCATGAGGTCAGGAAATCGAGACCATCATGGCTTACAAGGTGAAACCCAGTCTCTACTAAAAAAAAATACAAAAAAATTAGCCGGACTTGGTGGCGGCAGCCTGCAGTCCCAGCTACTCGGGAGGCCGGGACAGGAGAATGACATGAACCCGGGAGGCGGAGCTTGCTGTGAGCTGAGATCGCGCCACTGCACTCCAGCCTGGGCGACAGAGCGAGACTCCGCCTCAAAAAAGAAAAAAGAAGAAGAACAAGAAGAATCGCAACCTAATTTAGTATAGAAACAAACTGTAAATCTGACTTGGGAATGTATCATGGTAACAAATAGCGGCGGTTCAGCCAATCACATCAGCCGAGTGTCAGTCAATGGCCGGCAGCCAGCTGTTCAAAACAAGTTCCAAGAAGGCAAATCCGGGCTGTAACCAGGTCTGTAACCAATCCAGCCACCTCTATACCTCACTTCTGTCTTCTGTATGTCACTTTTTTTCTCTGGCTATAAATATAACCCGCACATGTTGTGTGGCAGATCATTCTGAACCATTTTTGGTCTGGACTGCTGCCTGATTCTAGAACCACAAAAAAAGCCAATTAAGATCTGCAAACCCACATTTGTTGTAATTTTGTATTTTAACAGTTGTGCCCTACAAAAGACATTAAGCTGAAATTAATTAAAAATCATTTACGGTCATGATTAGGTCATAAAAAATTGTCAAACATAACAATTCTTCAAAAAAAGCTAAAAAGTATATTTTAAAAACATTGTTGATGGAAAAAAGAGTGCAAAAGTAGATAGGAAAATTATGTACAAAACTAAAAACAGAGGAGAAATTAAAAGTCAAATAATTGCATCAAACTGGAAACCTAGAAAAAATGGGTGATTTCCTAGTAAAAATACACATTAACAAAATGGGCACTGAAATAAGGCAACTATGAATATACCAATTAGCATAGAAAAGCTAAGAAAGGTCCTTAAAGATCTCCCAGTGGAAAAAGGCCCCAGGACCATCTGGGTCCATAGCTTAGTGTAAGCTGACTTAACTAAATGTGATTTTACACTCGTGCATTGCATACATACGATGGTGGTCCCATGAGATAAAAATGGAGCTGAAAAATTCCTTCCTAGCCATCTTGTCATAAGCTCATGGCTCAACGCATTACCTTTTCTCTGTTCTGATACCATGAAAGGAAAATAAATCTCAGGACCCCCAAATCACTAAGCCAAGGGAAAAGTCAAGCTGGGAGCTATGTCAGGCAAACCTGCCCTCATTCTATTCCTAAGATAGCTACAAAGATAAAAAGCTACATACCTCACTCACAATTTGCCCACAAAGAATTTCCTTTTGGACAAAGGACAGACAGCACTCAAAGTCATCCCTCACCTGAGACAGATGCATATCTGATTGCTTCCTCTGCCCTATTATTTATGTAAAAATGCAGATTCATTGAGCCAGACTAAATTGTGTATTCAGTGGAAGGCTGATGAAGGATTCAAAAGAATGCAACCTTTTGTCTCTAACCTACTTCTGACCTGGAAGCACCCCCACTTCCTGCTTCCAGTTGTCCCGCCTTACTGGGCCAAATGACTGTACATCTTACACGTCTCATGTATCCCTAAAATGTACAAAAGCAAGCTCTACCCTGGCCACCTTGGACACACGTCGTCAGGACCTCCTGAGGCTGTGTCATGGGCGTGTCCTTAATCTTGGCAAAATAAGCTTTCTAAATTGACTGAGACCTGTCTCAGATATTCTGGGATCACAATCTACAATCACCATGGTGTTATGGTTGACTACAGCATTCAGTACAGAGACATGCTGTACAGGTTCGTAGCCTGGGAGCAATAGGCTATACTATGTAACTTAGGTGTGGAGTGGGCTACACCATCTAAGTTTTATAAGGACACTCTACAGTGTTCACACAAAGATGAAATCACCTAAGGACAGATTTCTCAGAAAGTATAACATCGTTACGAGATGCCTGAGTGTATTTTAAATGGTCAAAGCCTAGGAGAAAAAAAGAAACTTAACTCTTGTTATGGGTTAATAACAAAGCTTAAGAGAGTTAACATATTTCATCTAATCTAAGATGCCAATGATTAAAAGACATTACTTTATGCACCATCACAAATAGGTTGCCAATTAAACCGACTTTCTGAATAACACACAAATGTGAATTTACTTCTATTAATGCCAGGAAAGTAAAATGAAAAATAAATTATGGTTTTGACATGTTAAAGCAAATACGGCGGGGGTTAGCCTGAGGCCTTCCCTAAGCAAACAGAAACCGAACTTGGAGGCATTTGAACTGACTTAAAAAAATTAACAAACCAACCACAGTCAATGCCAAAAAGCCCAGCAGCCAGTTGGCTGTATGACTAGGGCCGCTGAGGGAACCATCCCCACAACAGGCGGTGGCCTAGCTGGAGCCACTGAGGAGCCTCACTTAGGGGCCACCCTAAGAGCTCGAAGCCCCAAGCCGATTTCCGTTCTGGTGCTTCCCGCGTGATTCATGAACCATTCCTTTGCTGAAATAAACTCCGCTTAAATTTATTTTACCTCAAATCCTTTTAACAAAGTCCAGTATTTACACTTAAAATACGGTTGTGAAAACTCACATCTACATCTGCTCTTCAATATTTTTCAAGTACTTTAACACTCTAAGAAAAACGAGCCACTGGAACGCAAATAAAAGCAAGTCGTGGGGTGCGCGTCTCCCTGGGGCTCTCCATGTTGCCCTCAGGGTTTCTCCCTTCTCTGTCCCGGATCCACCCCAAACAAACCCAAATTGGTCAAAAATTAAAAAATGAAACAACTCAGGTATGCTGTAATAATGAATAACAAAGCCACTTAATGATGGGCCACTTTGTAAAATAAAATAAATACAACTTGAGAAAGTGGAGCGCGAGGCAGCGCGGCCTCCTCAGCACTGAGCCGGGACAGAAAGCTTTTTCCTCACCTTTCCTCGGGCAGCCTCGGGGACCATGAAGCCACAGCTTCCCCAGTCGTTCCTGAGGAGCTGAGGAGAAGGAGGCTGGGTCGTCCCTGGCCACGGTCCCCAGGTGTTCCTAGAGAGCCAGCGGCGTCTCCCGAGTGGGTCCTGAGGAGGAGGAGGCTGGGCCCTCTCAGGTGTCCCTGTAGGGATGACGGCGCCTCCTGCGTAGGTCCTGAGGAGACGGCTCGGCTCCGCCCCCTGGAGCCGCAGGCCGTCTGTGCCGGAACCCGGGCGCCGCTTGAGGTTCTGTGAGGCGGCATCGCGCCCCCTGACGGCCGTCGCAGGCGGTGCAGGATGCTCAGGTGCTCGCGGTCGAGCTGTGGCCTCGCCCCTCCGGTGGATCTCCGAAGTTCACTGTTCGGACAATTACACGCCATGACTTTTGAAAAACCTGCTGAGGCCGGGCGCGGTGGCTCACGCCTGTAATCCCAGCACTTTGGGAGGCCGAGGCGGGCGGATCGCGAGGTCAGGAGATCGAGACCATCCTGGCTAACACGGTGAAACCCCGTCTCTACAAAAAACAAAAAAACAAAAAAAAATTAGCCGGGAGTGGTGGCGGGCGCCTATAGTTCCAGCTACTCGGGAGGCTAAGGCAGGAGAATCGCTTGAACCCGGGAGGGGGAGGTTTCAGGGAGCCTCCTCTAAACAGAAAAGACCGACCCCTAGTCAGTGTTTTATTTTCCCTGATGACCGCAGGCCATGAACTTATGGAACAATAACGTAATTAGGCTCTTGGACCCAGGGAAGTAGCTCCATGCCACCTGCCCTCATTTGCTGAGCATTTTGGTTTCTCGGATCTGCTACTCAGTTTCCAGTCTCCTCCTCCCTGCCAATGCTGCCAGCGTGCCTCTTCTGCAAGCAGCAACCGCCTTCCACCTTCCATTCTCTACTCTTTAGCCATCATCTGGCTGGACTTTTCAGAATGGACTGCAAAGGAGAATAAACTGGCTGAGTCTGAGGGTGCACTCACGTGCAAAGTTGCAAGCTTTAATGTACCCATCTTGGCAGATTTTGGCTCCTTAGAGTTCTTTCTCATTTGGGGATCTCATGTGCCCTCTGATGAGGTGGGCTCACTGACTGTCCGCGCTGGTGGCATCTGGCAGCACCTTGTCACGTGCACCTAGGTAAGAACCTGGCTGCACCTGATGCTTAGCCAAACGGGGAACCCACAGTTCTGTGTATCAGGTGACGTTTAATCTCTGGAGGTTAATGAACGTGAGGGAGCGATACTGTCTGGGACTCTCCACATATTGCGTCTGAGTCACTGAAGGAAAAGAATGTGGGGTCTGTTTGCTGGGACTGGACACCTCCATAATCACATGCTCCATGAAATGCAGGCAGGAGATCTCGCTTTCTACCTCTGGGATGGGAGTGTGCAGTTTCAGAATGAGACTAGCCCACACAACTGACTATTTGGGAAAGAGAAATGAAATCAGATGCAGCAATTTAATATCCACTAAGATGATATCTTAATCACAAACACTCTTCTGGTTTTTAGAAATGTGAATGTTATTTACACTAGGTTAAAAAACCTGAATATCCAACAGCATGACACCGACTAAAGAAATACTGGCGCACTCTGGAACCTTGCACACCACTTATTGGCATGGGAACAATGGGAACACGCCTATGCAAAGATGTGCATGGAAATTAGAAGAATGCAACACTGTAGAACAGATGTGACTAGGTGCATGATCAAGAGCACACAAGACCAAGCCTGCCTCTGCACACACAAGACAGCGCCTGAGTCTGCACCACATGACGGGACCACTGTGGAGCAAGCCTGGGAGATTCTGATGTAGGCAGCAGAGGCGTCACTTAGGGACCAGACTTCCGTGGGAAACCACCATCTCCTTCCAACCCAGATGCGCTTCATGGCAAACGCGAGCAGATGAAGGTCATGTAGGAGACGAAAGAACTCGCTCCCCAAGCCCGTAGGCCTTTGTCCTCCACCCATGGACCGAAGCATCTTGTTAGATGAGGGCCGCCCGCAGCCAGAGCCGGCGGAGAACCTGCCACGGAGCAGGTGTCCGTAAAGAACTGCTGACTGTCACTGTCCCTACTTGGGGGCCACTGGGGGATCTGATGCATCTCACTACCCTTTGTAAAGGAATTATTGAAAATGTCAGCCCTCTAACAAGGCATAGGTTGATTAGTTACAGGATTTAACATTTCTATTTTAAAAGGCAGCATTGAAGAACGTCTTTACAAAGGCTGTACAAAACCTGCCATATTCTTTGTCACACAGATTGACTCATGTGCAATGCAGCCATTTGATGAAACACTGGCATTTACCAGATGTAAACTTATTAGCAGACGACAACTAGAAATAGTGTGCTGGATGTGCCCGTTTATTTATATGAATATAACCATCTCTCTAGATGCATCGAAAGATACACAACATGAGATCCACTTTATTTCTACAAGTTTATGATCAGGTGGTCAGGACAGGGAAAGAAGAGGAAAAAACTTTAAATCATGGACCTTTATTCTTAGACACCTTTATCCTACATACACAAGGGACATGCATGGTTGAAATAACGGAAACAAGTGGATAAAAGTGAAAGTAACTTAAACAGCTTTACCCAGGAATGCCCAATTCAGGTGCTGCAGAGAAGAGCATGAGAACCGGGTGTCTTCAGGACAGGTGTGCATCTGGGAGCAGAGTGGGCGTTCATCAGCAGGGAGGAGAAAGGCCTGGGTCGGGGGACACTGGGGCTGCTGTCCCAGAGGCTGGCAGTGTAGCTCTGAACCCCCAAGACTTCACTGAGTCTCCCCTCAACCACCTAAACCAGAATAAACTGATGTAGCAGGACTCCTCAAACACTGTGCAGGGTCTCCATGTCCTCGATGGCCCCTGATGAGCCACAGTACCCTCAGGTCCTGGTGAAGGAGCTGGTGCTGCCTCCTGCCTTTCCCCACATGGGGTCCTGCAGCTCATCCCACACAGCCTCAGATTCCCTCTACAGAACCTGCCCACAGATGTCTTCCGAGACCGGCAATACTGGGAGGCCTGTGGCCCAGACCCAGGAGGAACCAGCTGAGAGGCTCCGTGGAGGTATCGCTGATGGTGTAACCAGAATGAAAATGCCCACTTCTGTTCTGCTCCCTGAGAACAACTGTCAAGCCAGCATGAGTTTCCAGTTGGAACTATTCCTTTTCTCCCCATGTTTGTCGCTGTTTTAATGGACATTGCCTGGCTATTAAATCCCCCGATGAACTCACTTTGAAAATTATCTATTGCACTGGGCACCCTTTCAGGAATCACTGAGTGTTAATTTTCTCAGTCTGAGTGATAATTTATGAGTCAAACAAGGACAGATCTGAAGCCAGAGGCTGCTCCTGTTGGGAAATCCCTGAGGATGATGTTCCAGGGAAGCCTCCAGCCTTGGGAGTCCCGTGGAACTGAGCCAGCCCAGGTCATGAAGGGAGCTGGTGCCAGACACTGACTGGGGACCTGCTGGCCTCTGGGCAGACCGCTCTGTCCCTGCACCTGGCCTGCCAGGTATCCCTGTGCAGTCATACCAAGTCCTGTGCTCAGAAGGGCCCCAGAGTAGTTTAAAGCTCTGCTGCCGCCCCTGGAAGCTCATGATTTTGAACAACAACAACAAAAAAAAACCCACGTTTTCCACTCGGCCCCACACATTATGTGGCCTGCGCAGCTGTCAGGCTGTGGCCACAGTGCTGGCATCTCTCACACAATGAAGGCTGCTGGAGTCCTGGCTGGCTTGTTTTGACTCTTTTGTGAGGCCCACACCTAAGCTAAACACTCACGTGCCCCCACGCTGACTCCCCACACTCTAAAGCATGAATCTGCCCCTTCAGCTGGGAGAGGGTCCTCGTGTCATCTGGGTTTTTGGAGAGAAGGTCAAGGGAGCCTGGGTTCTAGTTCTTCAGTAATCAAGAGTAAGGGTCTTACCTGTTCACAGGTCCCCGTGGCTGCTTTACAGAAAGCAGGAAGTGGCCACTTCAGCCACACGGCTGCATTTCCAGCTCAGTCCAGGCAGAGCTGCACCCTGCCTTGCACCTCTGCAGATCCTGAGGGGAGTCCTTAACTGAGCCAGGGCGAGTCCTGGGGGCACTCTGCCCCTGGGCAGGCCCTGAATCTCCTCTGCTCCCACACTCTAGAGTTCAACGGGTCTCAGGGGCTCTGCCTGAGGACTGCCCTTCAACCAGGTATTCGTAATTTCCCCAAGACCCAGGCTTGCTGAGTCACTCAGTTACCTGAATGCCTTTTTCACAAAGGGATGACTGTGCTGCTCCGTCTTCCTTCTTTTTTGTTTGCGAGGCCACAGGGAAATCTGGATCCTCTGGTGAAAAAGCAAATCCAGTTGCTGCTGCTGCTGCTGCTGCTGCTGCTGCTGCTGCTGCTGCCAGTTCTTGTAAATGTCCTCACTTGGTTTCTGGGCAGCAACTTCCTTGACTTGCCTGGGGAGCGGATCTGAGCTGCATTTACCAGGCCATGCCCAGGGGAAGTGATCAGTGTGGGACCGTGAAGCTGGATTTCCCCAGGAGCTCCCTCCAAGCTTCTGGGATGATGATAAGACTCGGGATGAACCAAGGATCTCGAACCATGGACAATGTGAAGTCTAGACCCAGTGGAGGAAGAGAAAGGCTACGGGAAGGGCAGGCTTCACGTTACTGAGCATCCGCTACCTGCCACACACTTTCACGTGGCCTTATTCTGTGTGTTTCTCACAGCACCCTTGAGAAATAGAGACTACGATCACATCTTTTACATAAAAGAAAACCACCATCCAGGGAGGCGAAGTCCCTTGCTCACAGACTGTCATGTGGGAAGCTCTCTGGATGCAATGATTGATGTCCTCCAGTTGCAGTACCAGGCAAGCTGTCCCAGAGTTCATGGAGCGGAAAGGCTCGAGAAGCAACTGAGGATGCTCGAATCACAGGTTTATAAAATCCATTCGTAAAACACAGCAAGAAGCTGAGGGAAGGAGATGGGAGGGCCGTATGACCTGATTCCTGTGCTGTCAACATTCATCGGTTCTCTTCTTTCTCTGCTAGTCAACCTCACCCACTCAGGTGTGACCACGAGGACCAGAGCCGAGGTCTGGGCAAGAGTGCTCACAGCTGAAGGGCTTATGACACACACCGGCTCAACGGGACAGACATGGGACAAGTGTGCCTGATCATGGTGGAGTTGCCAAGAAGCAGCTGTCGCACTGCCATGGGTTCTACGTGTTTCTTGGGCAGAGGACGCATGGGACCAGAATGGGCACCAGGAATGGTGGTGAACAAAGGCCCCATGGTTCTGCATGTTTAGGTGTCTCTTGTATAAAGGCACATTGTGAATTGAACATTTAGTGCCCAGGAGCCTCATGCATATTAAGTATCTCTTGGCCCTTGTGTCTCTTCCTTCCCACATGTAACATACCTGTTCTCTGTAACTATCTATTCTGAACGTATCTAAAAACCATGTCTTGCCTGTGTTATACAAACCACATGCATACTCACGTTCTCTGATGTAGCTGAAGGTTTCCTAAGGCCAGGGCACATTTCAGGGTCACATAGAGTGGAGAGAGGGACCAAAATAGCCTTGCTCTGTTTGACTCCCAGCCGAGATGTCTGCTGGGCAGCACTGCCTCTGTAGGCTCTAATGGGGGAAGGGAGCTCAGGGGAGCCTCTGGGGCTGGGCAGGCTACCAGAGGGTGTGGACATTTGGATGGACCCTGACGGAGGACTTGGGTTTCCTTGGGAGGAAGTGTCAGGAAGGGCATCTGGGGCTGAGAGCACTGTGTGAGCAACAGAAGGAAGGAAACTGTGGCTGGCTGGGAAGGGATGGTATGGGGGACAGGGTGAGACTTCTGGCCCTGGGTGCTCAGATGAAGACCTGGGGTTGCCTAGTGGCTGGAAACACACACCAGCTGTGGCAACTTGACCTCTGGGATGTGAGTGTGCAGGCAGCTGCTGAGAACGGCTGTGGATTTGGAGATGTGGCTACAGGGAATGGGCAATGGATTCATCTGGGAATTCTGCAGGCAGTGGCCCATAGAGGAAACAGCCTGGAAATGAGACTGCAGATACGTGCTAAAGAGGCTGGAGGAACAGTGACCCCAGTACAAGTTTATGGATCTTATCCACAATCTAAAGAAATGGAGGCCAAATGGCTTTTGAAATTCTAAGATACATGCAGAGGAAGAGTAATGCTTCATGGGAGAGTCAGACTCTTACTGGCAGTGACGCTACACGGTAGAGCTCTGTTCCTCCTGCCCATGTCTGTGGTTGGGGCTGGGGTAGTGCACAAACATGATGCTGATGAGGCCCAAGCATTGTTGGAAAAGAATTCAGCAGCTGCCACAAGAATCTTGAATCCGTGGGTGAAGACCTTGACTTTCTCTGGGACCAATGTGGTCAAGAACAAAGTAAAATCATGACAACAAACACTGTTCAGTTTTCCAAATATAAGCTATTTTAAATACTCTACATTTACCCTCAAAGACTGACATAACTTAGAATAACTTTTATAACAGCAAGGATGAGAACTAAAACTTAAATTGTAAATACAATTTTATTTATAAAAACAAAGTTAGCTTCAAATATTTTATGAACTAGTAGAATTTTAACCTTTTGTCACATTTCCCAGCAAAATAAATAATTCTTTTTTTCACTTCTAGTCTGTCAGAAGAAAAGTCTTAGCTGAAATGGCCAGAAACTCTGAGGCACACTCCGGAGGCTGCTTCCGGGGCACCTCGGCATGGCCGCTTTTCCATGCCGGCCCTCACTTGATGCGGTCCAGCAGGGTTGAAATTGTTTGAAATGCTTGTTCCCAGTGCGGTAAAGAAATAGCACTTGAATGTAAATTTAATTTCCTCAGCAAGGCCATTTTTATTTTTTTTTAATTTCTGCAGAAAGTGTACACTCGCCAGCAGTTTTGCCACAACAGTATACTGAGCAAAGGAGACAGGGTCATTTATAACCTGATGCATCCACCCTACTGCTGTGTCCAGTTTCCAGTGGCTGGAACGGGACCTCACATTCTGTATTTGTCCCGATTGGCTAGCAATTTAGAACTTTTTTAAAGAGGAAAAGGCAGAGGAGAACGAAGGAAGGAGGAAATAACTTGTGGAATGCTGAAAAAAGTAAAAACACCTTCGAATAAAGAAGAGGAACAGGCAATGACCTAAAGCTTGCTTGGACTAGTATAAGCATGCCAGGGCAAATATTTAGGCTAAATTGTGGGAGCTAAGAACATAAAGTACATTGATTTCTTTATTAGGGCTAGCAGATATTTAAGAATGTTAGCACAGGTCTTTGAATAAATTTTGCTTCTAAGAGAAGTTACTATTTATTTCTAATGAGATGGGAAGGAAAGTCTTTGAAGAGGAAACTCTACTTTTTACAGAAGTAGGAACTTAGACTTACAGTTTGCACATTGACAAACTTGTTTTCCTTCCGTACACGAGGGGTTTATGATCCTCTGTTGCAACTGATTTGTCTTATGTAACTTCAAGAGTTACTCGTCAACCTACTTAGTATTCTGGACTTTTCGGGAAATGGCAATTTGCCTTCCTATTTAGTGGAAGGGATACTGAGACTGCACTTTTTCTTACGCCAAGAAGTGCACAGTGTCATTGCAATGTCAACATCAGGGAGATCTCAGCCAGTGTGAAATAATTAGATCATCCACTCAAAATTCTTAGTTACATCTTTTTAACATTTTCTTCACACTTCTTAAAAGCAGCTTAACAAGAATTGCATTAGTCAGGGTTTTCCAGAGAAACAGAAAAGAGAGAAGGAGATGTCCAGAATTGTCTCATGTGATTACAGAGGCTAGAATCCAAGGAAGAGTGGCTTGAGTCCAGGGGCAGAATTCCCTCTTCCCCTGGGAGGTCAGTATTTCTTCCTTTAAGGCCTTCAACTGATTGGATGAGACCCACCCACATTATGGAGCATAATCTGCTTTACTAAAAGTATACTGGCTTAAATGCTAATTTCATCTGAAAAATACCACAGAATAATGTTGACCAAGTACTGGGAGAGGCCTTTTCCTTCATCTTTTGGTAAATTGCAATCCCTGGGTATATTCACATTTGAAACTCAAATGTGGGCATTGGCTACTGCAGGCCTTTCCCGGCTCAATGGAGTGCAGACAGGGGAGGCACAGGAGTGACTCCACTGTGTGAAGAGAAGACTGATGAGGGCCCGTGTGGCACCTCAGGTAGGGTCTGCACTGTCTGGACTATGGTCAGGCCCCTGCCTGAGCCAGCCCTGCTCTCCAGTGTCCCCAAGGAATCCCTGAAACTAGCATCTCATGGAGGAGATAGACGATGCAGGAGGTCCCCTGTGCCCAGAACAAATGGTACAACAAGGCCCTCTGTTCCCCAAACTGGTCTCAGCAAACTTTCCCCACAGCTTGGATCTGGGCAGGTCACAGGGCCCAAACCTCATGACCAGCAGTGCTGGACCAGGGGGCTAGAAGGGCAGGTGGAGCTCTCTGACGACATTGTGGAGAGGAGGGGTGCCAGGCAAGGGGTGTCCAGGCAGGGGGTGTCCAGGATACTGTCCTGAGAGCCTCTCCAGGGACAGATGCCCTTAGGGGCAGAGAAAAAGGCAACCGGGGAGACCAGAGGAGTCTGATGCAGATAAGGAGGGGCTCTGTCCAGTGATGTTTCTCCACAATGAGCTCTCCCGAGGACAAGCAGCCTGCTTTATAGGCTAACCCCACTGCACAGTGAGAAGACGAAGACTTCGGAACTCAGTTCCCTAGAACCTCTTCTCTCCCTGCATAGTCCGGCCCTATTGGTCCCTTCTGGTCTTGAAGGTCTTTAATGGAAACAAACCGCAAGGCCAAGGCCAGACCTGCCTGCCCTTCATGCCCATCTCCACGCAGCAGTTGAGTGTGGACTCTGCCTCCCCTGTCCCCCGAACAGTGAGTCCCCACCAGCCCCTCCAGGGACACAGTGCCAGCTCTGCAGCCCTCCCGTCCCTCTGTCCATTCTTCTGCAGGCAGGATGGGCACTGTGGCTGGAGGAAGGCTCCTGATCCACTGCTTTGGGGGAATCTGATTTAGCACTCTACAGGGAACCCAACAGAGATCCAAAGCTGAGTACTGATTCAGAGAAAGAACATTTCTGCTAAGCTTAGGGCCTCAGGGAGGACAGATAATTATCTAAAGTTGACAGAACAATCAATTTTCTGGGTCTGAAGTTTACAAACAAAATCCCTCTCCTTTGAAGGCAGATTAGCCATGGAAACACCTTCTACATTGCCTGCCTAAATGGTTTGTCTCTGCAATCAATCTCTCTATTCTTTAAAACAGAATTAGGATAATTTGCATAATTGTTTCTTGTCTCAGAGAAATCTTACGGGGAGGCTGTCTCCAGACAACCAGCAGCCTGGGCTCCAGGACGACGCCAAACCCACAGGCAGCCTTGCGGTAAGGCTCCAGGCTCTAGAGCCAAAGGCTCTAGGTCAGAGGCTCCACCTGGGACCCCTGCGCCCTCCCTGCCAGGGCGGCAGAGGGAGCCACATCCCTGAAAGCCTCTGGCTTAGGGACCTCAGAATTCCCACCTCTGATAAGGTAATGAAATGAGCCAAGGTTGGTAAAAATCTGTGAACAAACTGGCCTACAGTGGCTAAAACCAGAGGGAGAAAAATAATGTGATAAACCCCCAAACCAGCCATCCTGGGAAGTTTCAAGGGGCGGCTGCACTCCTGACTCCTCCCCAGCCTCCTGGAGCTGCCCAGGTGAGCAGACAGAGTTTTGAGAGCTGGTACTGAGACTCTGTGCCTGGAGACAGACACTGGGCAGGGACCCTCAACTTTCCTGTCCGTTTTGCGCAGAGAGTCAGAAACAGATGCTGGGGAGCAGCCAGCAAGCAGAGGGCTGCCTGTCTCAGAGGCAGGAGCATCCACCTCAGAGGATGGCAGGTGGGGAGATCCTGGACTGTGCCACCCCCAGGGGCTCTGCAGCCCTCCCGGTGCTCAGTTATCAGGCTCACTACCTCTCAAAGGCGTCTCTTCTCTCTGTGGACATTTGTCTGTCACAGCTGCAAGATTCTCACAATAAACTTGCTCTCCAGATTCCTAAAAGAATTGCTTGCTCCAGTTTAGCCAGCTAAGACTTTCTTGGATAATGGCATAATCTGGAAGGATATTTAACAATTTTAAACTGGAAATTATTGACTCTATGGTGAGTCAGGAAAAACCACATTCACAATATTCAACAGCAGCGCTGGGCCTTGATGCTCCAGGGCAGTGCAGGGATTAGAGATCTGAGAGGTTTCATGACGCTTCTCAGGGGAATACACGGGTTCTGGGTTCTTCTAAGGAAGCTCCCTCCATGCCAGCCACCACCTTGTCTCTGCTGGGGAAACAGTGGTCCAGGGGCCCTCAACTGCAGGGAAATTATTGAACCTCCCAATGTCACTGCATCTCCTCTGGGTCTTCTTTTATTCCTTCTTTCCCCTAGAAAACACCTTCTGACACACGCCCGCTCTGCCTGTCTGTCCCCTGCTGCGGCCAGACAGCGAGCAGGGAAGAAATCCAGTGTCTGGACTGTTTGCTGGTCTGCAGAACCTGTTCTCTCGCAGTATCTGTTTTCCAATGCAGATTTTCACAGTTCCCTAAAGAAACTTCAATTTCCATTCCCAGAATGACTTCATTTCCTGATACCCAGCCCAAATTCACGTGTGTTTGCAGCCGATGTGGCAACATAGCCACTTGGGTGGGGGTGAACATCACAGCCCACAGTTCTGCAGTTCAGATTTGGGTTTATCTTAGCACTTAGTGCAACTTTGCATTTGGCAGAGGTCTTTCTCTTTTGTAGTCCTTGCCACCAACCTCATTACTTGTGAGAGTCTGCCTCATGCCTGTCTGCTCAGCAGATGAGAGACCTTGAGGCCTGGGAAGATCCCGCCCTCCTTGGCTCTGTATTCCTAGGTAGTGCATTGCCTAGTGGTTGGTTAATTTTAGGTGTCAACTTGACTAGGCTGAGGGAAACCCAGATAGCTGATAAAACATGCTTTCTAAGTGCGCCTGAGAGGGCGTTTCCAGAAGAGATCAGCATTTGAATCAGGGGAGTGAGTGGGAAAATCCACGCTCCCCAAAGGCTGAGGGCCCAGATAGAACAAAAAGGCAGAGGAAGGGTGAATTCTTTCCTTATTCTGGATCTGAGACATCCATCTTCTCCTGCCCCCAAACATCAGAACTCGGGGTTCTCAGGCCTTTGGACTCCGGGACGTACACCAGCAACTTCCCTGGTTCTCCAGCTTGTAGATGGCAGCAGGACTTCTCATCCTCCATAATCACATGAGCCAAGTCACATGAAAAATTCCTGCTCATCCCTCTCTCTGTGTACATCCTATTGGTTCTGTTTCTATGGAGAACTCTAATACAACTGGCACAGACTAGCTGCTCAACAAGTGTTTTATTTCTGAATGACTCAGATGTTTGAGCAGCTTCCAAGCTTACATACCTGTGTTTCCATTAAAGCCATTGTTTAGGAGGCCGATGGCAACAAAAGGTTGAAACATGGCAAAATCAGGGGCAGTTGATTTGAGTTATACCGTGATGTGTTTACATTTGTACTATGATAGGGATTTATTGCAAGGAGTTAGGAATGCTGGCCTCTAAAAGCTGGAAAAGTGTATTTTGTTGGGGAGGCCTGGGAGCCCCCATCTCACACACAGGAGGGAAGACACAAGGGGAAGCACTCGTGACGATGAACGAGATGTTGTTCCTGCCAGACGCAGGTCCTTGCCGTGTGTGTGCATAACCTCATTTCATTCGATAGCAACTCAGGAGGAGGAAATCATTATTAACTGTATTCTTTTATGTACAGAAGCTGAGGCTTGAAAGTGAAAATGACACAGCTGTTCATGGTCTTGCTGGCATTGGAGCCAGGAGAGAAAAATCCCTTGGTAAAATCTCCCAGCTGAATGGGGAAATGGGAATATATCCCGCATGGCCCAAAGAGACAATGGCTGGAAGTGGTCA
Source organism: Homo sapiens (assembly GCF_000001405.40). Classification (NCBI taxonomy): domain Eukaryota; kingdom Metazoa; phylum Chordata; class Mammalia; order Primates; family Hominidae; genus Homo; species Homo sapiens. The sequence continues at coordinate 89,885 of NT_187539.1, forward strand.
CAGTCCTCGAGGGGGAGCTGTGTGGTGGCCAGGCTGTGGTCATGAAGACACAGCGGCGTGGGAGGCTGAGGGTCGCTGGGGATGCTGGCTGGAATGTTTCTGTTAATAGCTGGAGCTCCAGAGCCTGTCCTGGAAGAGGGATGGGGGCCTGGTCCTGGGAGAGTTTGTAAACCGGCATGAGCACATGTCAGGGTGGAGCTCTGACGTCAGGACCCTGGCATGACTGCAATAGACATCACACAAATGGGGCAAGAGGACCAAGCCTCCCCACGGTACAGCTGCTCAACTGTGTGGGGGGAGCTGTGGTGAAACACAGGACTCACTTAGAAAGATCCAGAGAGAGAATCCACCCACAGAAAACCTGGAGAGCATTTTGAAATTTCCTACAGGAAATCCAGGAGAAAAGGAGTCCTATTCAGTGATGGGAGGGGGTGCAGGTCAGGGGCCGCATCGGAAGGCAGTCGTCTGAAGGGATGCACGGATTCACGATGGAGGTGCTGAGACAGCCACAGGAGGTGGTGAGTGGGGGCCATGGGGATTGGGTGGGGAATCTAGAGCTGGGACACTCTGGTTTTGATGGAAGGAGCATCGCCCTAGGAAGCAAAGACACAGATTCGAGTCCAGGCCTGGAGCAACCTTCAATCACCCTTAAGCCCTCTGAGTTTCTGCGTCTGTGAAATAAGCATAATGATTCCCACCTCACAGGGGCAGGGGCAGGGGCAGGACACTGTGAGATTGTAAGGGTCGGTGTCCCTCTTCGCATGGAGTCAGCAGCCGGCTGGGCTGAGGGAGGTGTTTCTGTCCTTAGGTGTCGCAGGCTGGCTCTCGTGCGTCCTTCCTTCCACTTCTCCCCACCTGCATCCACACAGAGAATACACTACCTCCATAAAACGCTTGCAAGGGGCCACTGTTCTCAGCATTTCACCTGTCAACCTCACTTAAGCCTTAAACAGCCTATGATGAGGTTCTGATAGTGTCTCCCTTGGCCTGCTGGAAGGCCCAGTGCTGAAGGACGACTGGGCACCCCGGCTCTTGGGATGGTCAAAGGCTCTCACCTGGACAGGGAGGACCCCCTCCTCTCCCTGGGCCTTCTGCTGCCCTGAGCCCCTACTGCTCTCTGCCACAGACTCGGGAGGGAGCATGAGCTGCATCCAACAGGCCGCAGCAGGTCCCGGCCTCTCAGCACCCAAGACCAGACAGAGGCAGTGCCTCGGCTGCAGTAAAGGCCTAGCGACCCGGGTGGGCATGGGGCACACGTTCCTACTCTGGCATTAGAGGTCATGCCACTGCTTGTCTTTATCATTCTACCCAGTGTCCTGCGAGGACTTGGTCCTCAGGTGGGTCACAAGTCTCCAGTCCATTAATTAACTGGTCGGAAGTGAGTCCCGGTCTATCCCTGTGAGGAGCAGGGGGACTGGCACCTCATTTCCTCGTGGACTCATGGCCCTACACAACGACATGCCTGGCCTTCCTGGACTCATGCACTCACTCCAGAAGGACATTTGCTTTGAGCTCGCCTGGTGGATGGGGTGCCCCTGAACAGCTAACCATCTGTTGACATTTCCACCATGAGAAAGTTCCTCCAGGCAGCGCCCAGCTAGTGCTCCAAAGAGGTGCAGAATCTGAGAAATTATGTGGTCCACAGTCAACAGCTAACAACATTCATAGGACCTTATTAGCCACCAGCTTGGAGAAGGCCGGTGTCCAGAATAAATCAAATCCTTCATAACTGTCAGACGGTGGTGATTCAGTCAAATCTCAGTCAAAAGATGCTCTGGCCAAAGTCAACAGAGAGCAGAAGCAACTTGCTTTTGCTGGTCCCTCAGCAAGACCACACAGGGAGATTTGCAGGCAATAAACAATGTTGCCTAAAACTTTCCCGTGAGGTGGGAATTGCTTTCATCCAGATAAGAAGGTGCCGGCCCAGGGGAGGTGTGGGTGGCCAAGCCAGGGAGGGGGGCCCTCACGTGGCCTCAAGAGATCAGCAGCCAGGAGTTAGCTCTCTCCACAGCACGCCGAAACGGCTCCACGCCTCTGCTGGTGTTTTTATAGGAACCCCTTTTGTGTGTTTGCTTCCTAGCTCAGACTTGAGTCAAATGGTCTATTAATTAGGGTAGATTTAGTCACTCCTGACATCAGCTTGTGTGGTTCGAGCAGCCCAAGGGGAAGAGACAGGGCCTCCTTTATGCAGACCCCGCAGTCTTCAGAGGACTGGACACAGCCCTGGCCCTGCTGCTGTCTGCCGTGCCTTTTGCTCCCTGGGTTTCATTCCTTGGTCTGTACCTTGAATATAAGGAGATCCGTTTGTACATTTTGCTCTCGTGCATTATACCAAAGGAAAAGAGAAGATAGTAGTTTAAAGCTCCCAACACTTTTCATGTTCTGAGCCTTTAGGTCTCCCATATGGTAGAGAATCCACAAATATCAGAGGACCCCAAACCTCGCCCGAGATGAAACAGCTTTGAGGCTTCCAGGGATCCCTCAGAAGGCTGCACCCAGGCCGGCCACACGTGAAAACGCGATGGCTCTTTTCTTCTCTGTTCACTGTAGTTTTATCAGACAGAGCTCTAAACCAGTTTATTCAATGACACGGAGTGATTCTTTCCTGTCTCTGCTTGTCCAGTGTGTGACAAGAGTTGAGAAGTGGGGAGACACAGGGGGCACATTGAATGCAGGTGGTCTTACCCGCCTCACTCAGGATGCACGTCTTGCCTGGCTAGGCTTGGCCTCCTCTGCACTGTGTGCCCCTCTAAATGAAGCGTGACCCTTCTTCCCCCACCTCATTGGTGGTTCTCTGCCCCCATGAGCTCAGCCAGCTGCTTCCCTGACACATGCAGGTCCTAGCCTGGACGAGACAGAGCAACAAAGGCCGAGTGGGGACGAACACTGGCCTGGCTTTCAGGTCCACCTTTGCCTCACGCAGATGCTTCTCTACCCTTTATGATTGAGATCCTGGAGCAGGGGATCACCTAGTTGTAAGGACCATAAAGTGGAGAAGGAGCAGGGAGCGGTTAGGACCATTGCTGCAAGCTCCTGGTGTCCCTGACAGTGAGAGAGGCAGGACACTCGCCTGGGCTGGGCCTGAGGATGCTGCTTTCCCCTCTGCATGCCTGGGGTCCAACGAGGGTCATGGGACCCAGGAACGTCTCTGCAACTCTGTCTGTAAACATCCAGGAGCTAATTGTGACCTGGAAGTCATTTGGAACTCAGCACAGAGGCCTTCAGAAGTCCCTGCCTTCAGATAAGGGCAGGTGCTTACTCTCCCAGTGGCTAGCACTGTTAAAAACAGACTTTTTTTTTTCTATAGCCAACATCATAACAAATGATGAAATACTCAATAACTCCCCCTAAAACGGGGAGAAAGGGAAGGGTTTCTGTTTTTGTTTTCATCTCTTCTAGTGAGCATTGGGCTGGGAGGTTCCAGCCAGTGCAAAGAGATGAGGAAAAGAAAAGTATAAATATTGGAAAGAAATAAGTAAAACTATCCTCATTTACAGGTGAAATGAGGTGGCAAATCCTAAGGGATCCACAAAAAATCAACTTGAACCAATAAGTGAATTCTGCAACATCACAGGACACCAAGTCAATATGTAAAGATCAGTTGTATTTCTATATACTACTGATGACTAATTTAAAACATCACAGGACACCAGGTCAACATATAAAGATAGGCTGTATTTCTATATACTGCTGATGACTAATTTAAAATGAAGTCAAAAATACTATCTATAATAGTAAAATCAAATACTTAGGGATAAATTTCACAATATATGTGAAAACCTCTACACCAAAAATTATCTGAGAGATATATCTCTAAATATACCATGTCTAATTCTTCACAAATTGATCTAATCATTCAATGAAATCTCAATTGGAGTCCCTGTGGACTTTTCCTCTAAATTAACAGGATGATTTAGAAGTTCATAGAGAAGTGAAGGTCTAAGGGCAGCCACAGCCATCTGGAAAGGAACGGCACCATCAGAAGAGTTGTCAAATCTTGCACCAGTAAGGCCATAAAGAAATAGCTCACTGGCATAGAGCAGAGATTACAGAAATAGGCTGACAGGCACCATCCCATGATTTTCAACAAGCAGGCCAAAACCACAGGGGGAAACATGGTACTGAAATAACTGGATATCAGGCCAGGCGTAGTGGGGCTCATGCCTGTAGTCCCAGGACTTTGGGATGCCAAGGTGGGAGGATTGCTTGGGCCCAGAAGTTTGAGACCAGCGTGGGCAACGTCATAAGACTCTGTGTCTCTACACAGAGATGTAGGCCAGGCACGGAGGTGCACACTGAGGCAGGAGGATCCCTTGAGCCCAGGGGTTTCAGGCTGCAGTAAGCTGTGATCGCAGCTTGGGCGATAGAGTGAGATCCTGTCTCTAAAATATAAAATATATAAATAAATAAAACAAAACTGGATATCCACATGAAAAGAAAAAAGAATCTTGACTCCTCCTTCTCATACCTTCGAAACTGAGAGGTTAGGCAAGGGTTTCATAGAGAAGACACAAGCCATAAACTAGAAGATTGATAAACTAGAGTATAACTTACGAGGGAAACGAGAGTGACTTCATGCTGGAGAAACCTGGCCAGCACACTCTGCCAGGTAGCCGAGGTCAACATCAGCAGTGAGCCGGGCCGAGGCAGGACCCCTGATGTGGTGGCATGAGAAGCGCCTCACCTCTGCTCTTCCTCCAAGGAGCCCACAGCCGGAATCTGATCATGAAAAAAAGACTTCACACGAACCCCGGCAGACAGACACTCCCCCAGATGCCTGAGCCCAGCTTCTCAGAACTTTCAAGATCACAGAAAACAAGGAAGGTCTGAGAAACTGTCACGGCCCAGAGGACCCTAGGGAGATGTGACAAGCAAATGTCACACGGGATCCTGGATGGGATCCTGGATGGGATCCCGGCCCACAAAACGGCCACCCGAGAACAAACCAAATGAACTGTGGGCTTTAGTCAATGATTATGTAGCAACGTTTGTTTGCTAATTCTGACAAATGTACCATTATAATGTAAGGCATTAATAATAAGCAAACTGTGTGAAGTATATGGGAACCCGGCACTATCTTTATAACAATTCTGTAAACTCGAAATGGCTCTAAAATAAAAAAACTTCATTTTAAAAAACCAGCCACAGGGGAAGGAGGGAGATTGATAAATTGGACTTCAAGAAAATGGAAGTCATTGGGTGAAAATACACACAACAGGGACACCTGATGAAAGACCTCCATGAAGAATGTGTAAGCAACTCTGGAGACCCAGCAATCAACAGACTACTGCCCAATTCTAAAAAACGGGCAAAGACTTGAGCAAACACTTTGGAAGATACACAAATAGCTGATGAGTTTGAGAAAAGCTGCTCAGCCTCGTAGTGATCAGGAAGTGCAACTGAAAAATCTCAGTGGGACGCCCTGCACGCCCGCCAGGGTGCAGGCAGAAAGAGGCTGACAACACGACAGTGAGGCTTATGCCAAGCAACCGGATCCTCATCGCCTCTGGGGACAGCCTGGAATGTGGCCACCACTTAGGACCATGGCTTGGAAATATCTTAAATCCAACGTATTTCTACATGCTAGTGATGCTGCTCATCAAGGGGGTGAGCACTCATGGGCTGGGGATGCTACAGGGTCCTCAGTGCCTGCCCATTTCACAGGACGGGAGACTGAGGTCTAGAGGGAGGCAACAGCCAAGGAGGCCCTGGATCCAACGCCTCGCCCAAGCCACCACGGCTGCCTCCTCCTCTGGCCCCTCCATCTCCCCCACTCCTTCTCCCCCTTGTCCCCCTTCTCCTTCTCCCACCCCTCCTCCTCCTCTCCCTCCTCCTCATCCATTGTCCTCCTTGTCCTCCTTGTCCCCCTCCTTGTCATTCTCCTCTTCCTCCTAGTCCTCCTTCTCCTCCTCCTTCTCCCCCTCCTTATTCTCCTCCTTCTCCCCGATTCCTCCTCCTTCTCCCCAACTCCTCCTCCTTCTCCCTGACTCCTCCTCCTTCACCTCCTCCTTGTCCTCCTCCCTCTCCGCCTCCTCATCCCCCTCTTCCTCTTCCTAATTCTCCTCCTCTGCCTCCTCCTTGTCCTCTCCCTCCCCCTTGTCCTCCTCGTCTTCCTTTTCTTCCTCCTCTTCTGTCCCAGGGCTTTCAAACTCTGGCTCTCTAACGACATGGAAGAGTTAAAAGGAGGAATGCTGGCTCAGCCAAGCCCCGGAGACTCCTACTTGATATGGGCAGTTTAAAGCCACTTTCCCTTTAAATTTTTCTGTGACAACTCTTTTCATGGAGAATGAAAAGACTCTCGTTAAGTGTTGCCATTCAGAAGTGTTGGCGGTCGTTGCTAACATGAGATCCAACAAGGTAAATGCCAGAAGCCATCTGCAAGGGGTAATACCTTATTCTGCTTTTGCATAAGTGATGCTACATCCCTTTATCTCTCTGCTGCCGGCCTTCAGTGCTGATGGCCTGTGCCACCCAATGACTGGTTAAATCAGCTTGAGGAAGAGCTCTTTTGAGGCTCTGTCCAGTTTAGCAGGGGAAACTTCAAAGTCCCAGCATCCTGGTCATGGAATGCTATGTTAACCCTTTCCAAAGTTTGAGACTGAGATGGGCAGACCATTTTAAAGACACACTGCATCCAGCCTCCCATGACAGAGCCTCATGGGAAGGGTGGTGAGCAGGGTCGTGGGGATATTCTATCCTGAGCCTTCCATGTTGGGGCTTCTCGGAGACAGGGGAGGATCACAGCCTCAGTGACTGGCCATTGGCCAAATACACTCATTAAAATGCCCTTCTCCAGGGCTGGGGACCTGACTCTCTCAGTCTGTGGGGCCCAGCCCACCTGCTCCTCCCTAATGGCTCCTGCTGGATGGGGAACAGCCTGGCACCAGGTGAACCATCACTGACTCTCCCTGGGGAGAGACGAGGGAGGAGGGGGCATGTCCAAGAGGCCAAGGTACAAGCCCAGTGCCCTGCAGGTCTTCCAACATTTCCAGCCTTAATGGCCATGATCGCCATGGTCTGGACTTTCTGAAGAAAGTCTTTTCACAGGCTCGGCCTGGCTGGAATCTGACCTGTGAAGCCTTTGGGTCAGTCGCAGGAATTATCAAGCATCTGCCATGCCTGGAAGAGTTGGACTGGGGAGGCACAGGGCCTGCCTGGCGTCAGGTGCTGAGGAAGGGATGATAAATGCACCCCCTCTGTTTTGTCCATTTCTCACGGCCTCTCTGGCCACCCTGTCCGCCTGTGTCTGTCCTGCCCAGCCCTTCTCTGACGAGCGTGTCTTGGTGCTTTGTCTCTGCTCACCCTGGGCTCATCACTGTAAACAGCAGGAGGTTCCACACCAGGCGAGGTGTGCCATTGTGACTGAAGGTCTCAGGGAACAGAACTGAGTCTGGGTGGGTTGAGCTGGGAGTTTCATAGCTGTAGGAAGCTGCGATCGCAGCTTCATGATGCAGACAGAAGGCCTTGTCTCAGCTCAGTGGGGGAAGCCCCTTGACGACTCTAGGCAGGGGGGATTGTACCGCTGCCTCTCCCAGTAGCAGCTCCCAGGAGGCAGTGCAGTCACGGGGCCCCGCTGGTAGAAGCTGAATAGTCCATCGGGAAAACCTCAAAGGCCACCAGTCCTCGAGGTAGCTGCTGCTCCAGCTGTGCTCACCTGGAGTGGAGGGGCAAATGGCACCAGGGGTGGGAGAGGTCAAGGCAGAGCCTCTGCCCCATCCTAGACCAGCTGCACGAGACGACAGCTCACACCAGCTGCCCAGAGGCACAGCCCCTCTGCCAGGCTTCAGCAGGGCATGGCTTGATCTCAAGGCCCTCTCTTCCCGTCCCACTGCCCCTCCCTCCTGTGACAGGAGGACCAGCAGTTCCACTCTGAGCCCGGCTGAGGCCCGACCTCCTCCACCTCAGCCCTGAGAATCTTCTCCAGCTGGGATGGCTGTTGCCCTGTTGTTCTGTTGTCCTCTTGTCCTGTTGTTCTGTTGTCTTGCCCTCCCAGCTCCTGACCACACAGGGGCTTTGTTCCCACGCCAGCCTCTTTGGGGAAAGTGGGGGAGGGGGGCCCTGCTCCAGGCTCTGGGACATTTGTCTTGGGCTGTAGCCTGTGACCAAGGAGAAGAAACCCTGAAGGTGGGTTCCCACCAGATGTGGGCATGGTCAGCTACATCAGGCCCCCAAAGGTGTGCACATCCTAATCCCACGAACCCGTGGGCACGTTACCTTACATGCAACAGGCACTCTATGGATGGAGTCGGGATAAGTGTCTAGAGATTGGGAGGTTGTTCTGGGTCATCCAGACGACTTATGAGAGGGCCCTTATGAGAGGGAGGCAGCAAGCTCACAGAGAGGGCCATGGAACAACAGCAGCTCAGACACAGCAGAGGCTGCACAGCTGTCCTGGGTGCCAAGTAGCTGCAGAGGTCAGAGGAGGTGCAGAGCAGGTGTTCTGCAGCCTCCAGAGGGACCAGCCCTGCTGACTCCCTGGCTTTGGCTCAGTGAAACTCATTTCGGACTTCTGACCTCCAGCTCTGCAAGAGAAGGAATCTGTGCTATTTTAAACCACTAAATTTGTGGTTTCTGTTCAGCAGCAGTGGGAGAGGGCGAAATGCTCTCCAGCTTGGCACCCACAGCCCAGCTCAAAGGCAGGGACTGTGGTTGCTTTGCAAATGAGGGAGGCTGGGTCCCTGCCCTCACCGGGCTTACCATCTAGGTATGGAGAGGAGTAACGTAAGGTGAAGTCAGAAAAGAATCATAAGAAAAGAAAGTCCACACCCTGGAAGGATCTGAGGCAGAAGGAAGCTCTTGCTGAACCACCTGAGAGGAGGCGGTCTGGCCTGGGCACCCTGGGGGGCCTGTGCCCCCACTTCGAGGCCCCCCTGGAAGGTGCTTGGCTCTCCGGATGACCCCAGCACTGGGGAGACCCGCTGTGCTTTCCAGGCAGCACAGACACCTCGGTGTAGGTGTTGTGGTGCCACAGGGAAGGGTGTTTCTTCCAGCCTGGTTCTCAGGACGGGCTGCTGGCTGGAACAAACCCCACCTCTATCTGAGCCACCAACCATCTGAACCGGTATTCTCTCTATCTGACAAATATTCCTCCTTCTTTACATCCCAGAAATGGTGAAAATGCACAATGCCTCAGGACACCTTGAGGAAGGAGCAGCGTGTTGCTGCCGAGGGTGAACACACGTGGTCTCTGCGGAGAGGCGACAGATCTCCCTGGGCGTCAGTCATCCTGGGACTGGGTGTCGTGGAAGAAGGTGACACCAGGCAGAAACCAAGAGCAGGGGAGCTGCAGGCCGGCATCAGAGCCCGTATCAGAGCAGAGTGGCCCCTGAGCGGGGAGGGAGCCGGAGATCACTGTTGGAGGAGGGCCCGGCACCTGCACCTGAGGACGTGAGTCTAATAAAAGAGTATAAATAATATAATAAAAGAGAGTATAATAAAAAAATAATTTAAAGAAAATAGAGCTTGATAAATCTGTTTCTTCATCTTCATAATAATGTCAAATTTGTTGAGATTTTTTTTAAATGGCACGATTTGTCTACAGATCTTTGTACTCTGTCTGGCTTAAATTAAATATATATACAACTTATATAATAAAATACTGGGCTGTTTTATTATTATATTGATAATTTCTTAGTCAACACTACTTTGATCATATTCTATAAATGGCACTGTAAGACCTGTGACTGGTTATCAACAACATAAAGTGATTATGAGAGTTTCATGTGACAGATGAAGGAAGGTTGGTTAGTGCAGTGGCAATAGTTGGCAACCTGAGAAACTGAGCTCACAATTTTAGAAAAGTATTATTCTTTCTAACTAGATATTTCCATGAAAAGAACCTTGTGAAATGCAGAAATGCCAAAAGAATAATTATAAGATAATAACCAAATAACTAAAATGCATCTCAATTTCTCTGACAATTTAACTTAACGTGGGGTGCAGGCAGAATCACAATGTTTACAAACATAGGCATTTATGATCTCAAGACGTTTAATTCTTAGCTCATTGAGGAAAACAGTAGCGGAACTGTTATTGCAGAGATAAAAGACAGAAAACAGTGGAAGGGCTTGATCACAAGTCATATGTTCCAGTTTTGGAAACCTCTAAAAATCCTGCCTGGTGATAGGTTTTTCTTAACTCATTATTGAAGAATATATGAGCAGGCAGAGCATGGTGGCTCAAATCTGTAATCCCAGCACTTTGGGAGGCCAGTGTTGGAGGAACACTCGAGGCCAGGAGCTCAAGACTAGCCTGGGCAACATAGCAAGACCCTGTCTCTACAATTTCTTTTTAAACTAGCCGACTGTGGCGGCATATGCCTGTAGTCCCAGCCACTAGGGAGGATGAGGTGGGAGACTGGCTTGACCTTAGGTGTTTGAATCTGGAGTCATCTGTGATTGTGCCACTGCACTCCAGCAAGAATGACAGAGCTAGATCCTGCGTACAAATATACACATATTGTATATATTGTCAATGACCAGTCACAGGTCTTACAATGCTGTTTATACAACATGGTAAAAATGATGTTGACAAAGAAATTATCACAATAATAATAATAAAAGCCCTGTGTGTTATTATTTAAGTTGTTCATAAATTTAATGTAAATGAGGTAGAGTAATAAAGATCTGTAGACAAATCATGTCATTTATTTTTTTAATCTCAACATAATATAACTTTTTTTTTTTTTTTAGACAGATTCTCACTCTGTCACCCAGGCTGGAATGCAGTGGCTAGATCTCGGCTCACTGCAACCTCCACCACCCCGGTTCAAGCGATTCCTCTGCCTCAGCCTCCCGAGTAACTGGGATTACAGGTTGCTGCCACCGTGCCTGGCTAATTTTTGTATTTTTAGTAGAGAGGGGGTTTCACATATATTTTAATTAGAAAATTAAAATTTTAAACTTTCAGAGGAAGTGGTAGTAATATAAAACAGGATATTTTTATAATAAGGAACTCTTATATTTTGCATATTATTCTCTCATCACCAAATAATGCTACCTAAAGTAATATACAACCAATTTAATAAGTTTAGTTTTAAAAAACACAAAATTACAAAACAATTAATACAATATTTGAAATCATGATGCATATTGCCAGCCTCCCTTCAGGTAAAGTTCTATTAACTCTACAAAAATTTTCTAAATGGCAGATGTTACATTTCCAGATAGCTTTGTGGTAACCAACACAGAATTGATTTATTAGTAATTTTTATATCACATTGAGACAAAATATTATTTGTGATAAATATTGTTACATATTTAAAACATCTCATGTATTAAGAAATCATACTTTAGATGGGGCCAAGCTGGCCTATTAGAAGCAGCTGTGGCCTGCGGCTCTCACGGAGAGCAGTAAAAACTGCGAGTGAATTCTGCACCTTCAGTTGAGGTATCCAGGTTCTTGCATTGGGACTGACTAGCCAGACAGCTCGACCCACAGGGAGTGAGGAAAAGCAAGTGGGGCGATGGCCCACCCAGGTGTGGCACGGAGCTAGGGGCGACCCCACTCACAGCCAAGGGAGGCGGTGAGTGATTGTGCGACTCTGCCCGGGAAACCATGCTTCTCCCACGGATCTTTGCAACCTGCAGATCAGGAGGTCCCCTGGTAAGCTCAGCCATGGCCTTGGGTCTGAAGCACGGAGCTGTGTGGAGTCTGGGCGGAATGCTCGCTGGCTCACTGGGGCATGCGTGAAAGCCCAGGAGTTTTGCATCCTCTGCCCCGAGAATTCCAGCAAAGCGGAAGATACATCCGTGCATTCCCCTAGGAAGGGGGCTGAATCCAGGGAGCCAAGTGACATCATTCTGAGGCCCCACTCCCACAGCACCTCACAAGTCCCATTGGCTTGGAATTCCAGCTGGCCAGTGGCAGCAGGCTGGAGGCAGCCGGAGATGGACCGGGTTCCCGGGGTAGGGCAGCCACTCTATCTGTGGTTTGAGTTGGCCGCTCTAGCCTGCTGGCACCAGGGACCAGGAGGAGTCCCCCATAACACAGCACAGCTGCTGTGACTGATCGTGGCCGGGCTGCTTCTTTAAGTGAGACCGAAATCCATCCCTCCTCACCGAACAGGGCCTGCCCATCGGAATTTAGGAACTCCAGCCAGAGTTCTATGGACAGAACTCTGATTTCTCCCTGGGATGAAGTCCCCAGGGAGAGGGGTAGCTGCTGTCTCCCCAGTTCAGCCGACTGAGCCTTTCCAGCCTGCTGGCTCTGGAGACTCCTGGCAGTCACCACAGCACACCTGCTCTGCCAAAGGGCAGCCACACTGCTTCTTTAAGCAGTCCCTGATCCTGTTTCTCCTGACTGGGCAAGACCTCCCAACAGGGGTCTCCAGACACCTCCTACAGGAGCGTTCCAGCTGGCATCAAGTCGGTACCTCCTTGGACTGGTGCTCCCAGAGGAAGGAACAGGCTGCGATCTTTGCTGTTTCGCAGCCTTCACTGGTGATACCTCCAGGTGCAGGAGAGACTGAGGTGACCAGGGTCCAGAGTGGACCCCCAGAAAACCACAGCAGACCTAGGGAAGAGTGGTCTGTTAAAAACAAACAGAAAGCAACACCATCAACAAAAAAGACCCCACAAAAACCCCATTCAAAGGTCAGCAATGTCAAAAATCAAAGGTAGATAAGCCCACAAAGATGAGAAAACATAACACAAAAACGCTGAAAACTCAAAGAGGCAGAATGCCTCTTCTCCTCTAAATGACAACACCACCTCCCCAGCAAGGGCACAGAACTGACCCCAGGCTGAGATGGCTGAATTGACAAAAGTAGGCTTTAGGAGGTGGGTAATAACAAACCACACTGAGCTAAAGGAGCACATTCTAACTTAATGCAAAGAAGCTAAAAATCATAAAAGAAATTACAGAAGGTGATAACCAGAATTATTCAGTTTAGAGAGGAACATAACTGACCTGATGGAGGTGAGAAACACAACACGAGAACTTCACAATGCAACCACAAGTATCACTAGCAGAATAGGCCAAGTGGAGGAAAGAATCTCAGAGCTTCAAAACCATCTGTCTAAGACAGGAAGAGAGAATACAGAAAAAAGACCAAAAAAGAATGAACAAAACCTTCAAGAAATATGGGATTATGTAAAAAGACTGAACCTAAGACTGATAAGGGTACCTTGACCCACCACGATCAAGATGGCTTCATCCCTGGGATACAAAATTGGTTCAACACAGGCAAATCTATAAATGTAATTCCTCACATACACAGAACTAAACACAAAAACAACACGATTATCTCAACAGATGCAGAAAAGGCCTTCAATAAAATTCAACATCCCTTCATGTCAAAAACTCTCAATAAACTAGCTATTGAAGGATCACACCTCAAAATAATAAGAGCCATATATGACAAACCCACAGCCAATATCATACTGAATGAGCAAAAGCTGGAAGCATTCCCCTTGAAAACTGGCACAAGACAAGGATGGCCTCTCTCACCACTCCTATTCAACATAGTACTGGAATTTCTGGCCAGGGCAATCAGGCAGGAGAAAGAAATAAAGGTATTTAAATAGGAAGAGAGGAAGTCAAATTATGGTTGTTAGCAGATGACATGATCCTGTATCTAGAAAACCCCATCATCTCAGCCCAAAAGCTTCTTAAGCTGATGAACCACATCAAGAGAATCTCAGGATACAAAATCAATGTGCAAAAATCGCTAGTATTCCTATACACCAACAACAGGCAAGTAGAGACCCAAATCATGAATGAACTTCATTCACAATTACTACAAAGAGAATAAAATACATAGGAATACAGCTAACAAGCGAAGTGAAGAACCTCTTCAAGGAGGACTACAAACCACTGCCCAGAGAAATCAGATAGGACACAAACAAATGGAGAAGCATTCCATGCTCATGGATACGGAAGAATTAATTCATGAAAATGGCCATAGTGCCCAAAGTAATTTATAAAAGAATTCAGTGCTATTCCCATTAAACTACCAATGACATTCTTCACAGAATTAGAAGAAACTATTTTACAATTCTCATGAACCAAAAAAGAGCCCAAATAGCCAAGACAATTCTAAGCGAAAAGAACAAAGCTGGAGGCATCACACTACCCAAATTCGAACTATACTATAAGGCTACAGTAACCAAAACAGCATAGTACTCGTACAAAAACAGATACATAGACCAATGAAACAGAATAGAGAACTCTGAAATAAGACCATACACATACAACCATCTGATCTTTGACAAACCTGACAAACACAAGCAATGGGGAAAGGATTCCTTATTTAATAAATCATATTGGGAAAACTGGCTAGCCATATGCAGAAAACTGAAACTGGACATCTTCCTTATACCTTATACAAAAAAATAACTCAAGATGGAATAAAGACTTAAACATAAGACCTAAAACCATAAAAACCCTGGAAGAAAACCTAGGCAATACCATTCAGGACATAGGCATGGGCAAGGACTTCATGTCTAAAACACCAAAAGCAATGGCAACAAAAGCCAAAATTGACAAATGGGATCTAATTAAACTAAAGAGCTTCTGCACAGCAAAATAAACTCATCAGAGTGAACAGACAACCTACAGATTGGGAGAAAATGTTTGCAATATGTCTGACAAAGGGCTAATAACCAGAATCTACAAAGAACTTAAACAAATTTACAAGAAAAAAAAAAACCCCATCAAAAAGTGGGCAAAGGAAACGAACAGACACTTCTCAAAAGAAGACATTTATGCGGCCAACAAACATATGAAAAAAAGCTCATCATCACTGGTCATTAGATAAATGCAAATCAAAACCACAGTGAGATACCATCTCACACCAGTTAGAATGGCGATTATTAAAAAGTAAGGAAACAACAGATGCTGATGAGGCTGTGGAGAAATAGGAATGCTTTTACACTGTTGGTAGGAGTGTAAATTAGTTCAGTCATTATGGAAGACAGTGTGACAATTCCTCAAGGTTCAGCAATCCCATTACGGGGTATATACCCAAAGCATTATAAATTATTATACTATAAAGACATGCACTGTATGTTTATTTCAGCACTGTTCACAATAGCAAAGACTTGGAACCAACCCAAATTCCCATCAATGATAAAGTGGATAAAGAAAATGTGGCACATATACACCATGGAATACTACACATTTATGTCCTTTCCAGGGACATGGATGAAGCTGGAAACCATCATTCTCAGCAAACTAACACAAGAAAAGAAAACCAGGCCAGGAGCAGTGGCTCATGCCTGTAGTCTCAGAACTTTGGGAGGCTGAAGTAGGCAGATCACCTGAGGTGAGGAGTTTGAGACCAGCCTGACCAACATGGAGAAACCCCGTCTCTACTAAAAATAGACACAATTAGCCAGGCATGTTGGCACATGCCTGTAATCCTAGCTACTTGGGAGGCTGAGGCAGGAGAGTCACTTGAACCCAGGAGGCAGAGGTTGTGGTAACCCAAGATCATGCCATTGCACTCCAACCTGGGCGACAAGAGTGAAATTTTGTC
This sequence comes from Homo sapiens, assembly GCF_000001405.40. NCBI lineage: Eukaryota > Metazoa > Chordata > Mammalia > Primates > Hominidae > Homo > Homo sapiens. Next base: position 105,363 of record NT_187539.1, read on the forward strand.
TCAAAAAAAAAAGAAAGAAAAAGAAAAAGAAGAAAAGAAAACCAAACACTGCATGTTCTCACTCATAAGTGGGAGTTGAACAATGAGAACACATGGACACAGGGAGGGGAACATCACACACTGGGGCCTGTCGGGGGTGGGAGGCTGGGGGAGGAATAGCATTAGGAGAAATACCTAATGTAGATGACAGGTTGACGGGTGCAGCAAACCACCATGGCACGTGTATACCTATGTAACAAACCTGCATGCTCTGCCCATGTATCCCAGAACTTAAAGTACAACAAAGAAAACTTTACATAAATGCATAAAGTCTAGAACAGCTAATATATTATAATGAAATATCAACTATAATCCCAGCTCAAAGAGAACACCATGAAATTATGAAGGGCTTTCCACAAATCTCTAAATTTATGTCTTCATAAGATTACATTTCTATTTCTTCTTGAATAATTTCCTTATTTTAGCTATGATTTAGTGATAGTAAGATGGTAATTATGAGGAGAAACTTCTCCCAACACGCCATTGAGAAAATTCTGCCTCATTTCACCACACACCAGAGTCTTAAGCAGTCACTTCTAATGTAGCTGAACAATAGATCCTCACCCACCTGAGTCTATGAATTGAATCCACGTATGTGAGATAAGGCCCCCAAGGAGTGGTAATAAGCTGGGAATGCCATCAGCTCATCTTCCTTCAGGCCTATATTTGTCATTGTCACTTGTAGAAGCAGGACAGCCCTGGCGTTGGGGTTGGTAGAAACAGAGAGTATCAAAGGGAAAACTGAACTTCCCTAATTTTTGGAAAACAGCAGATTGGAGACAGATGGGCTCCAGCATTATCCATGTGTGAGGTCATTGTCCCAGGCAGCCTTGCTCAGGACCACATTTCTTGTCAGCAAAACAGAAGTCAAACGATATTTCTACCTTCCAAGAGAACAGAACATAATGTCAGATTTTCTCATGGATTCCCACAAGTTCAAGAAAGTTTCGTGGCCTTATTTAACTGCTTAAGCATTTTAACTAAAAAATTATTTGTCTTTCAAATACACAGGAATCTGTTTGGAAAAATTTTAACCAGAAAAAGTTGGAATTCTAAAGTAAAAAATGCATAAGGCCATCAAAATTTTTTACAGCTTTTAATTTAGATGTCAATGGGGGAAAAAAAGACATTCTCTGAAGTTTGCTTTTATACCATTAAAGACTTATTTTTTATTACCAGCAATACAGGGCAACTCATTCAGGTTGAATCTTGAAGGTAAACTTTAACTTAATTATAAGTTTTGGCTAATTTTTAAGCATTTATCAGTCACCTACCATGATTTCATCTCAGAAACCAAAATCTCAATTTCATTTAGACCTTTGAAATCTTAAAACAGAAAATTAAATGCTTCAAAATAATATTCATGTAGAGGCTTATATATGTGGACCAGGAATCTCCATGTATTACAAAGTTTATGAGAACATAACAAATGTTGATACACACATTTAATTCTTAAATAAAAACTTACAACAAATAAAACTGTAACAAATCAAGAAAATTTTGTAGGTTTCACATTTTATGTCTAAAAATATAGGTATTAAACACTCAAGGATGGATAAAAGAAATCACAAGAGAAAACAGAAAATATCTAGAGACAAATTAAAAATATGAAATACCGAAAGTTAAGAGATACATCAAAAATAATACCATAAGGGAAAAATGTATAGCTATAAATGATAATAAAAAATAAGATACCGAATCAACAACTTTACTCCTAAGGAACTAAAAACAGAGGGAAAAAAGGGGACTACTAAAAGAGGGACAACTAAAAGAGGGACAACTAAAAGCTAGCAAAATTTTAAAAATGATAAAGATAGCAGTGGAAATAAGTGAAATAGAGAACAGAAAAACAATATCAAAAATCAACAAAACCAAGTTTGTTCTCTGAAAAAGATCAAAATTGACAAAATTTTATATAGATTGACTAAGGAAAAAAAGGGAATACTCAAATTACTAAACTCAAAAATAAAATGGGTACATTACTAACAAATTTTTGGAGTAAAAAAAGGATGCACGAGAGTACCATAAGGAACTATACACTAAAAAATTGAGTAACCTAAATAAAATGAACAAATTCCTAGAAACAAAAAACCTACTAAGACTGAATCAGAACAGTTGAATAAACCTATTCAGCAAGGAGATTCAGCAGGAAGATGGCATAAGTAATCAAAAACCCAGCAACAAAGAAAAGCCTGGACCAGATGGCTTCACTGTTGAATTCTACCCAACGTTTAAAGCAGAATTAACACCAGTTTTTCTCAAACTTTTTCAAAACGTTGAAGAGGAGGTAATGTTTTCTAACTTATTCTATGAGGCCAGTATTACCTTGACACCAAGCCAGACAAAGGCACCATAAGAAAACTACAAACAAACATCCCTTACAAATGCTGATGCAAAAATCCTCAACAAAATACCAGCAATTCAAATTTAGCAGTACATTAAAAGGATTATACACTATGAATGAGTATAATTGACTCCTGAAATAAATGTTCCAACACATGAAAATCAGCATAATATCACATTAACATAAAGAAGGAAAAAACCTCGTGATCACCTTAATCAAAGAAAAAGCATTTGTCAAAATTTAACCCACGTTCATGATAAAATACACTTAATAAGCTATAAAAAGGAATAAAACAACATAAGGTTATATTTAAAAACACACACAGCTAACATTATAATGAAAGACTGAAAGCTTTTACCCTAAGAGCAAAATCAAGGATGCCTGCTTTTACTACTTCTATTTAATATAGTACTGAAGGTTCTAGTTAGTTAAAACAATAAGGCAAGTAAAATAATAAAAGATATTCCAATTTTTAAAAAAGTAAAATTTTCTGTTCGCAGATGACATAACTTTATGTATTAAAAATCTTTTAGTTTCTGTGAGATAAACTATCAGATGCAATAAATAACATTCAGCAAAACTGCAGGATACAAAATCAAGACACAAAAATCGGTTGTATTTCTACAATAACAAACTATCTGAAGAAGAAATCAAGACAACAGTATCATGTATGATAGCATCAAAAGAATAAAATACTTAGAAGCCCACTTAACCAAGGAAATGAAAAACCTGTACAGCAAAACTATAAACATTGCAGGAAAGTATTAAAGATGACACAAATAAATGAAAAGACATCATGTGTTTATGGACTGGAAGACAAAACCTCATCAAGACGCCATTGTTATCAATAGTTATCTACAGATTCAATAAAATCACTATAAAAATTCCAATATTTGCAAAAATAGAAAAACCTATTCTGAAATTCAGATGAAATCTCAAAAAACCCCAAGTAGCCAAATCAATCTTAAAAACTAACAAAGTTAGAGGACTAACACCTCCTGGTTTCAAACTTACTGCAATGCTTCAGTACCCAAAACAATGCTGTACCACCATAGAGACAGACATAAAGACCAATGCAATAGAAATAGAGAACCAAAAAACACAGTCATGATTTTTAACAAGGGAGTAAAAACTATGGGGAAAGGACAGTATATTTTTAAATGGTGTTAAGAATGAATATTTACATGGAAAACAATACAGTTGGACCCTTACTTTACACCATATAAAAAACTTAATTTAAAATGGACTAAACATCTAATTGTAAGAGCTAAAACTATAAAACCCTTAGAAGAAACATAGGAAAAATGTTTCATAACATAGAATCTGGCAATAATTTCTTGGATATGACAGTGAAAGCACAGACAACAACAACAACAAAAATACATAAAAAGAACTTCATCAAAGTGACAAGCTGTTATGTATCTGAAGATATGATCAATAGATTGAAAATAAATTCATGAAGGGAAAGAAAATATTCACACATTATATATTTGATAAGTAATTAATATCTAGGCTATATAAAGACCTCAGCAACAACAACAAAACAATCAAATTTAAACATGAGCAAAGGTTTTAGAATACACATTTCTCTTACGAAGATATGCAAATGACCAGTAAACACAGGATAAGGTGCTCAGCATCACTAATCGTGAGAAAAAAGTAAATCCAAACCACAGTGCAATACCAACTAACACATGTAAGCATAGCTGCCATCAAAAGCACCACCACCAGCAAAGCAAAACAACAAAGCCCCAGAGAACAGCAAATGCTGATGTGGAGAAGTCAGGACTCCTGCACACTGCTGGTGGGAAAGTAAGATGGCACAGCCACTGTGGAAAACAGTAATCACCATATGATACAGTAATTCCACATCTGGGTATATACCCCAAAAAACTGAAAGTGGGAATTCGCACATCCCTGTTTATAGCAGCATTCACAAGAGCCAGAGGGTAGAAAAAGCCCAAATGTCCATCTACAGATGAATGGATAAACAAATATGATCAATACACACAATGATATATTATTCAGCCTTAAAAAGAAATTCTAATACATGCTACAACATAAACCTTGAAAAGATTAAAACAAAAAAATGCAAATACTCTATGCTTTCCACTTTTATAGCATACCTAGAGCAATTAAATTCATAGACACAGAAAGTAGGATGTGGTTTCCAGGGGATGGGGGGAAGGGAAAGGGGAGCTATTGTTCCGTGGATACAGAGTTTCACTTTGGGATGATAAGACAGGGTTGGAATGGATAGTGGTGACAGTTGCACAACAATGTATTTATACTTAATGTACTTTTCTGTTATACGTATTTTACCACAGTAAAAAAATTAGCAAATATTTAAAAATCTACTTGTTTCCTTGAACTGTTTCTTTACATCCCTTGTCCATTTTTCAATTTGGCTGTTGGTCTTTTAATAATTTAGGATAGCTATATAGCTATATATATACATATATATTACCCAAATTAGCTTTTTGTCTGTCATGTATGTTGCAGATCTATTTCCCCAGTCTGTTCACTTTTGACTTTGAGGCATTTTTCTCGCCTATAAAGTTTTAATTTGTATGGAGTCAAATGCATCAGTCTTCTATTCAAAGACTTATTTATGGGTTTGGTGTTTCAGTTTAGGCTGATAAAGAAGTTGTAGATATGGATAAAGGAGATGGTTGTACAACACATTATACTGGATGCCACTCAACTGTACGTTTAAACATGGTTAAAATGGTAAGTTTTATGTTGTGTATATTTTACCACCAAAAAAGGGCCAGGCTTAGATGTTTATATGTTAGGGGTTTGGAGTACCTCTAACATTTATTCCCCTCCAGGGGAATAATTTATAAACACCCACACAAGAAAAGTAGATACTGACCTCACAAATCTCCTTACAAGTCCCACAGCAAGGGCTGTCTGGGAAAGCAGAGGTGGAAAAAGTCACTTAAACTTGAGGTCAACGTGAGACCTCCCATCCCCTACTCTGGAATCAGTTGGAGGAAGGCATACATGCAGGCTGAGCTGGAGAGATGAGCTGGGGTGGGCAGAACTGTCCTCCCATGAGCCCAGACCTTAACTGCTCCCACATGCTCCCAGGCATGTATCAAACCAAGAAAGCGGCTAGGAGGGTAACACAGCTACCTGTATACAGGGAGCCATGAAATATCTGAGCTGCGCAAGTGATGCACAAGGAGACGGAAGCAGTATGACCTTTTACACAGTGACCTGGCTCGAATAATTTCAGGCTCTCATTCATCAGGCGAGCTCTGCTTTCTCTCTGAGGTAGGTAAACTTGAGGGGGTAAAGTGGGAGTTGGGGATAATGGAAAAGAAAGCCTGGTAGTATTTCTCCTAACTCTGTTATAAATAAAAAGTAAAACATAAATGCCTTTTCTCAGGGCCCAAATGTTAGGCGAAAAAATGTTTGTCGTCTCAGTCATGTGATGTGGACTTCAGCAGAGCAGGACACACATGGTCATTTATCCTTTCCCTCTGCATGTTGTGTGCTTTTTCAGTTTATAATGTACCTGATCCACTTGTCTCATCACACTAGCTGCAAACAAGGCCACTGAATGTCACACCAGGTGGCCAGCATGTCTGTGAAGGGCAGAAACTGGGGCAGCCAAACAGCTGGCAGAGGCCAGCTAGGAAGTACCCGATGCCCACTCCATAGAGGACTCCACACTTAAAAGACAAGATCAGCAAGTGTCAGGCTGCCTCACTAGTTATCCCCCCAAATAAAAAAATAAAAGTAACCCCTCCAGGGAACGTGTGTGTACACACAAAAGTACATGCACACATCTACATGCAAACGGGAAAGGCTGGGAAGGAACCAAATCCACCTCTGAACACCAGTTACTTGTGGGGAAGGGGCAGGTGAAGCCAACTGTCAGCATTACTCACCTTTTCAACTGATAAGCTTGCATCAATTTTGGCAATTTCTCATAAAAAGGCAATTTTCACTCCTTGGGTGATCACCCAGGTCCTGCAAAACTGAGCCACCAACAACCACCTGCACCACTTCCCATGAGGCCAAATAATGGCTTCCCTCAAAGCTCAGCCCTCCCACCCGCCTCCCAGTCCTCTCCCATGCAGGGGGCTGCCGGCCTCCTGGGGTACAGGTGTCCAGGCCAAACCCAACCCACAGATGGTTGGTGAAACCAGCATGTATCCAAGAGCCTTTCCACCACCTGGGCCATGTGCCCACTGCATAGATAGGCCTGTGCTTGCTCCCCTAGGACAGAGACTCCCTTTTCTTCCATTGGAATGAGGGGTGGGGAGATTTGATGGTGTCCTGTACAGGTTGGGTGTTAATCTGATGTGGTGCTCTTGGAGAAGCTTGCTTGAGTTTGGCGCTTTCTCAGCACGTGTTGTGTGCTGCCCCTTCAATCTGCAGGAGTCCCAGAAGGTAAGTGCTGCTGCAACCCCCATTTACTGGTGAACAGAGGTCAGGTGATCTGCAGCCGACCGAGCAGCTGCTGAGTGGCCAACAGGCGGGATCTGTATCTAACTTGCAGAGGCCCTGCCTGGATGCTGGGGCTGCCCTGAGACTCCCTCCACCTCCTCTTCCCTCCACAGCTCTCCCGGCTTCTATCCACAGCTGTGCTCCAGGTGGGGAACACCTGTGGATACACCAGGGTGCAACTACTCAGAGTCCAGTGTGCAGAAGGGCCCCTGCTCTATGCTGTTTCCGTATCCAAGCCCAAGCTCGTCTACAGCTTCAGCAAATCCAAGCCTCCCTGAATTCCCCGCAAGACCAAACAGCCCTACAACACCCACCACTCTGGTTAGCTGCCAGTCCCAGCCCCTGTTCCCTCCTGGACCCCTGTCTGTACAGTTCTGAAGTCCTACAAGAATGTTGAGATCCTAAGCTGACTCTCACCCAAAGAGGTAAACAACCAGGGGCCTCCAGGTGGAGAGAACATACCCAGACAGGTTCTGCTGCCTGTAGGCTTGATGTCCTTCCCCTACAACACGACTTGCTTGCCAGGCTGGAAGAGGGGCTCCAGAAACTTGGGAAACCTGGGCCTGTAGCTGGCATGTGGAAAAGAGGCCTGGAAAAGCACCACTCCTGTCCATGAAGCCCCCACATGGAACCAGGTAGTTGGGAAATACATGGGCACCAAGCCTGACCCCCCATCAGACCTAGGTGGGAACTGCAGTGGTGACTTGCCCCCTCTGCCAGTCTGGCTGTACCACTACAGGAGGGAGGAACATCTAGCCCCACACGTGAGTGGAGACACCAGGTGTGGGCAGGTTCCGGTGGTTGCTGCAGCTGAACCTTCCTAACCAGGTCCATGCAAGACCATCTCAGATGGGTGCGCACCTGGGTTGGGCAAGGACACCCCTCAGACAGTGAGAGCCACTGAGAGGGGCTGCCACTGAGAGGGGCTGTCACAAAGGCCCCTTTTCCTGCTCTTAGAACAGGTTGGGCGAGTGTGGGCGAGTGTGGGCGAGTGTGGGGGGTGTGGGGGGGTGTAGGGGAGGTTGGGGGAGTGTGGGCGAGTGTGGGCGAGTGTGGGCGAGTGTGGGGAACCTCTCCCACCTCCCAGCTGCTTCCAGGAGCCACTTCTTTTGAGATGAGACACTCTCCTGCCTGCCTGTTCCCATTTGGCTGCAATAGACCATTGACAACATTCAGAGAACAAGAAGGGGCCTCACCTGTTTTCCCTGACACGTCGGAGGCAGGTGGGCATTCCCAGGGGACCTGGGGTAGAACCTGTTCATCTGCCCACCCCCAGGCTATGCTGGCTTCATCTTATCTGTGCGATAGGGCTGGGGGTGGGGGTGGGGGTGGGAATTACCAAGAGACCATCACACAGGCCGTGGACAAGTTCTACAAGAGCCAGGGAGAAGAACACTGTCCGTGCATGCTGCCCAGCGCCCAGCTCACACACACAGCTCTCATTTGACAGCTTCCCCAAAGCAGGCTTTTGCAGTCCAGGCTCCCCAAGAAGCCTGGGGAGGAGACTCTGCCAGGCTGAAGGGCCTGTCCCCAAAGGTGCCACCCTCACCAGGCTCATCCTGGCAATCTTGGATTATTTTTGCCCTGAGGTTTTGGAGTGGGAGACAGGGAGAGAGCAGACAGTACGCATTAGCCACCTTTCCAGAGAGCATCAGCCCTCCAGACTGGGGCAGGTCAGACCTCCACTCAGGCGTTTTTCTCACTGGTTGCCAGTTGGGGGAAGCAGCATTTGTGAGCACCTGCCTGTCTCCCCAGGTCCTGTTCAGAAACCCCATCTGTGCCTTTGGAGGGACTGCCCTGAGCACAGAGGCCCAGCAACCGCATCTACGGCCCCCAGGACCTAATCCCCTTCTACATCAGGTTCAGTGCATGTCACAGGCCCAGCAACCACATCTACGGCCCCCAGGACCTAATCCCCTTCTACTTGGGGTTCAGTGCATGTTAGCAGACACTGGGCTTGATCCCTGCCTAGTCCCTGCCAGATATCCCATGCCCACCTCGTGAAGAGAATGAGGCCACACAATCACACCCAGGCCATCGTGGTGATGGAGTCGCTGGGGTCCCACTTGCCCACCCTTCATTGCTGGTTCAGAGCCAGCTGTCTGACCACATTCCTACCCCGAGATGGGACTCTGGGGACATTGTCCAGCAGGGTTCACTGACCCCTTTTAAAGTTCCAGAAACATGGCCAGCTGGTCCCCTAGAAGTTTGGCACATGGGATAAGCCAAGGCTTGCCTTCAGGAACAGGTTTTCCACCACGTCGCTGCCCAAGGCCCAGGGCATCCCCAAGTTCATGTGAAGCCTGCCTGCCATGTCCACAGCCCATGCCGAGCCCTCCTGGAGCCACTGGAATGCTTGTTCCTGGGCATGTGATAAGCCCAGACAGCTTCTGCCTTGCAGGACAACTATGCGCATCTGGCAGCAGTAGCCAGAGGGCCCATAGAAAGAAGATGGAGGTGAAACCAGATGCTGTGAAAATGCTTTATTAGGCAAAACCGCATACTATAAAAATGCTTTAAAACGCAGCAGGAGATGTGAAGACACAAATGAACAAGCGCATAGTGACACATGGCTGTCAGAACACAGTGAAGAACCCACACTGCCTCCCCCCTTTACCTAGAAAAGGAGAGTTCTAGGCCACCTCCTCCTCGGCATACTCCTCATCCTCCTCCTCCTCAGCCGTGGCATCCTGATATTGCTGATATTCAGACACCAGGTCGTTCATGTTGCTCTCGGCCTCGGTGAATTCCATCTCATCCATGCCCTCGCCCGTGTACCAGTAGAGGAAGGCCTTGCACCTGAACATTGCTGTAAACTGCTCTGAGACACGCTTGAAGAGTTCCTGGATGGCCGCATTATTCCCAACGAAGGTGGCGACATTTTTAGCCCCCAGGGTGGGATGTCACAGACGGCTGTTTTTACGTTGTCGGGGAGCCAGTCAGCAAAGTAGCTGCTGTTCTTATCTTGAATGTTGAACATCTGTTCATCCACCTCCCTCATGGGCATGTGACCCTGGAAAATGGCAGCCGCCATTAGGTAGCGGCCGTGACGGGGGTCACAGGCAGCCATCATGTTCTTAGCATCAAACATCTGCTGGGTGAGCTCAGCCACAGTCAAGGCCCGGTACTGCTGGCTGCCCCGGCTGGTCAGTGAGGCAAAGCCAGGCATGAAGAAATGCAGCCGGGGAAACGGGGCCATGTTCACGGCCAGCTTCCGCAGGTCAGCATTCAGCTGGCCCGGGAAGCGCAGGCACGTGGTGACCCCACTCATGGTAGCAGACACCAGGTGGTTCAGGTCACCATAGGTGGGTGTGGGCAGTTTTAGGGTCCTGGAACATATGTCATACAGCGCTTCGTTATCTATGCAGAAGGTCTCATCCGCGTTTTCTATGAGCTGGTGGACTGAGAGGGTGGCGTTGTAGGGCTCCACCACGGTGTCCGACACCTTGGGCGAGGGCAGGATGCTGAATGTGTTTATGATCCTGTCTGGGTACTCCTCCCGGATCTTACTAATGAGAAGGGTACCCATCCCAGACCCAGTCCCCCCACCCAGGGAGTGGGTCAGCTGGAAACCCTGCAGGCAGTCACAGCTCTCAGCCTCCTTTCTGACAACGTCCATCACTGACTCCATCAGCTCCGTGTCTTCTGTGTAGCGTCCCTTGGCCCAGTTGTTTCCGGCCCCACACTGACCTGTAAGACAGCACAGCCGGTCACTCGACGGCCAGGTATACGGTCATCAGTGGTCACCACCATAATGCAGAAAGGGCCAGGGGTTAAGGGGCTGCCTCTGAAGTGGTGGAGAGCACAAGGCTGCAGCTAGAAGCTGGGCCTCTTGCGAGATTTGCTTTATTTTATGTTGTCTCTGCCCTATTCCTGTGATGGAAAACTGCACAATCCAAATCTAAAATCTGATCCATGGGAGTCTGGAAGTCTAAGGCTGCTTTTGGTGGCTTCCTGCAGATATCAGAAGCAGACTGGGCTATAAAATAAACTGCTAGCAATGCCTGTCCCTTCTTGGAGTCAGGGTCAGTGTTGGTGTATTTCCTCAAAGTCTAAATTATCCACCCTTGTAATAAGGCTAGGTTTTATTCCTTCAAGGAGTCAAATGATCATAATTTTTTATCCCAATTTCTATATCTCTCTATATCCCACTTTCTTCCTAATTCATTTGTCTTTTCTAGATTCTAGTTCTCTTTTGGGTCCTAGTCAGGCACTGCTGTGCCTCCTACTTGATAGGTGTCATGTCCCTGGTTGCAGGCTGCCACCCTATTAGCATGTACTCTAGCCACTCCTATAATGCACTGCTTTTCTACCATGCAGCAGGTAAACATAAATATATGCAAATCCTGCCTGGGCAAATCATACATCCAGGTTGGCCTCTTAAATTAGTCTATGAGTTTTCCCAGAACCTCTGAAAACTGTTTTAGTTTCTCCTTGCATATGGCTAATTCAGACATAGAAAAGGGTACATATACCTATATAGTGTCCTTATTATCATCTGTCACTTCCCAGAGAGGGCAAACATTCAAGTTTGCCAGCTGATAAGAGGCCCCACTGCATGTTATTCTGGTGAAGCTCGGGTGTTTCGAGAGTGGGGTGTGTATGTAAGACAGGACTCGAAGGGCAGGGAGAAGAGGATGACCAGACACTAGATAACCCTGGAAAACTAGAAGGAATTAATAACATGTTGCACACCTCACCAGAACTGGAAGGAGTCTGACAGTGTTCTTATGGGGTGCTCAGACTGGCAGGGGGAGTTCAGCCCCAGCTAAGAAAAGCCTGATATTAAGAGGCACTTGCATTAAAAGGGTAATCAATTATGTGCCATCCCTATTTTGTCTTTTCCTCCATCAAACATATAGAAGCCCAATTTAATTTTTTATCCTGACCAAGCATCAGAGAAGCCTGTATATAATGTATTTCCTCCCACTTAGTTTCTCTTCTATAAAACAAATTAAGCTGCAAAAAAAGAAGTCAGGCCAAACAGGGGAAATGGGAAGGCTGTAACTTGTATATTGTAATGTATTAGTCCATTTTCAAAATGAACTATGCTATGACAAAACTGCTATGACAAAACTGACAAAACTCTTTCGGGAAAAAAGTGACATGCTGGGTTTAGAAAGTAGGGTCCAGCTGCCCTATACCAGCTCATCAAAGATGGCCTTATGGTTAAGAAATGAGAGAAAACTGTTAAGAAAAAGTCTCATGTTCTCCATCTTGAGGCTAACTGTTTGCAAAGGGTTGTCATAAAACAGGCTCTCACTAAACAGGCGTATCTGATCTTATCATGTAGGGCTGTTAAATACATTTCAACTTCTAGTCATAATGATGGAGAGGTTACTGCTGATCTTTTCTGTCTAGGTTCCAAGACATCTCTTTTTTTGTGTCACTTGGACCAGTGGCAAATTAAATAAGCAGTCAGCTAAAAGTCAGAGGATCACTGAGAAAAGTAAAAGCTAAACTGTTTGGGGCCTCTTTCCTGGGGCAGCCTCCAGGCTACTAGAAAACAGAGGCGGTGAGCAGAAAGGTGACAAGATGCAGAGCACTCAGGTGAGGGACAGAGAGCACAAGGTGGACAGTCCAAAAAGAGAAAGTGGCAAACATCTTGTTTAGCCAAATCCATTCTTCTCAATATACCCCAGGGCCTCTAACCTTGTGAGCTTGGCCTCTAATCTGAGTATGACACCCCCAGGTCTCTAACTTTGGGCTGAGTCTCTCACCCTAACATTATACCCTAGGGCCTCTCACTTAAGTAATAGTGGATAATCATTCTTGCCCACCTGAATGGCTTCACGACTCTAAAAGACAGCCCACTTGCCAGCTGATTGATTCTGTGTGGACTGTTTTCCTTGGAGTGGGGGTCTTGTCTTGGTGTCCCTTCATGGCATTGCTGAAAGATGTTGCTGGAAAAGAGGGTCCTGATACAGACCACAAAGTAGGATTCTTAGATCTTGTGCAGGAAGAAATTTGAGGTGAAAGAAGCAAGTTTATTAGAAATGACTCCATTACGGAGTTGGACATCCTCAGAAAACAAGAGCAGGAATGCATTGTCTTTTGTTAGTGTCTGTACTTATAAGTAACTATAAAGAGAAAGAGTTATAATTAAACTTGGAAGGTGCAGATGTACTCACTAAAGTCGGGGCTATTGGTTTTAACAATGACCATTAACCCGTTGACCTAAGCTAGCTCATTAATATTATCTTTAAGAAAAAATGCTGCACTCCTAGGACATTTATACATTTTTTAGGCTTGGTGGAAGATGTCTTGTGTGGCCATAAATATTCTGCAATTGTAATTTGTGGCCAGCTAAAAAATGTGACTATTTTCAGACTATAGGTATTAACCTTCTAGATGCCTGGTGAGTACCTAGCTACTCATATTAAGATAGAGTATTCTAGTCATGTGTATTAAACTAGAAGCTTGGTAACCATGAGTTCCTCTAATACAGCAAGTCTACTCCTCAAGGAGAAAATGTATTTCTCAGGAATTTTGTGCATTTTGTTTGATGGCATTTGGTATGTTTACCAAAATGGCAGAAAAGAGTGAAATTAGTCCTCAGAGATTTCTCAGGATTGGATATAAAGTAACAAATGATTATAGTTAATATGCAAGTTGACACAGTTGATATGCAAAAGAAATTTTGTCTGGAACACAATGAGATTTTTATTTATTAATTATTGTTATTATCATTTTGAGACAGAGTCTTGCTCTGCTGCCCGGGCTGGAGTGCGGTGCACCATCCTGGCTCACTGAAACCTCCGCCTCCCAGGTTCAAGTGATTCTCCTGCCTCAGCCTCCCAAGTAGCTGGGATTACAGGCATGAATCACCACACCCAGCTAATTTTTGTATCTTTAGTAGAGACGGGGTTTCACTCTGTTGGCCGGCTGGTCTCAAACCCCTGACAACAAGTGATCTGCCCACCTTGGCCTCCCAAATTGCTGGGATTACAGGCATGAGCCACCGCTGACAGCCACAATGAGGTTTTTAGATAATTCTGATTTCCTGCTATTGAGCAGGGAGCTGAGCAAATTCAACAGATCATGGGCCTAAAGTAGGAGAAGACTGAAGACAAACTCTAGAACATACGTGATTAAATTAATTACAATTGAAATCAAATCAAATTTAACAAGGCTGTACATCTTAGTCTCAAGATGTTTCCCCTCATTTTGAAACGTGGTGTTATTCAGTGGGAAAGAAAACTAGTGTTTATCTCCAGAGTAAAGAACAGGGTTCCCTGCAGGGATTGATTGAGAGCTATGGCTCAGGATTAAAAATCCTTCTTTTTTCCACTTATAAACTAAAAATTAATTTCTAAACCCCTATTGACTAAATGGAACCCTCTTCTTGGGTAAGGACATTCCAAAGTTAACCTGAAAAGCTAGTTCAAGCCATGGGTCACATATGCCTCATTATACTCTCCTCGCTTTGGTTTTAATTTTAATTTTAATTTTTAATTTTTTTGTGGGTACATACTTGGTGTATATATTTATGGGGGTACATGACATACTTTGATACAGGCATGTAATGAGTAATACATAATAAAAAACAGGGTATCTGTCCCCTCAAGCATTTATAGCTTGTGTTATAAACAATCCAATTAAAATAGTATTTTAGTTTTTATAAAATGTATAATTAAATTATTTTTGACTATAATCACCCTGTTTTGCTATCAAATACTGTCTTATTCATTCTTTCTAAAAATTTTTTGTACCCATTTAGCATCCCCACTATCCCCCATTTCCCACACTGCCCTTCCCAGCTCCAGTATCCATCCTTATACTATCTCTATGACATCGATTGTTTCTAATTTTAGCACCCACAAATAAGTGAGAACATCTGACATTTGTCTTTCTGTGCCTGACTTATTTCACTTAATATAAAGACTTTCAGTTCCATTTATGTTACAGTAAATGACAGACTCTCATTCTTTCTTATAGCTGAATAGTACTCCACTGTGTATATGTACCACATTTTCTCTATCCAGTCATCTGCTGATGGACATTTAGGTCTCTTACAAATCTTGGCTATTAGCAACATTTGTTTTTGACTGACTTCTGGAAATAAAAGCCACCTTAATTGGGGTGAAATGGTATCTCATTTTGGGTTTGATTTGCATTTCTATGATGATAGTAATGTGGAGCACCTTTTCACTTGTCTGTTTGCCATTTGTATGTCTTCTTTTCATAACTGTTCATTTAAGTTTTTGTCCACTCTTTAACTGGATTACTAGAATTTTTCTATAGAATATTTTGAACTCAATATATTGTAGTGTATTAGTCTGTTTCTGCACTGCTATAAAAAAACTGAGACTGGGTTATTTATCTATTTATCTATTTATGTATTGAGATGAAGTCTTGCTCTGTCACCCAGGCTGGAGTGCACTGGCATGATCTTGGTTCACTGCAACCTCCAACTCCCAGGTTCAAGCAATTCTCTGCCTCAGCCTCTTGAGTAGCTGAGATTACAGGCACCCACCACCATGCCCAGATAAGTTTTGTATTTTCAGTAGAAATGGGGTTTCACCATCTTGGCGAGGCTGGTCTTGAACTCTTGACCTCGTGATCCACCTGCCTCAGCCTCCTAAAGTGCTGGGATTACAGGCATGCGCCACTGCGCCTGGCGAGACTGGGTAATTTATAAAGGAAATGGTTTAACTGAGTCACAGTTCCACATGGCTGGAGAGGCCTCAGGAAACTCACAATCATGGCAGATGGGGAAGCAGGCACCTCTTCCACGACAGCAGGCGAGAGAGCATGTATGTGAAGCAAAGGGGGAAGAGCCCCTTATAAAACCATCAGATCTCATGAGAACTCACTCATTATCAGAAGAACAGCCTGGGGGGAACCACCCCCATGATCCAATCACTTTCTGCCAGGTCTCTCCCTCAGCACCTGGGGATTACAATTCAGTATGAGATTTGGGTGGGCACACAAAGCCTAACCATATTATGTAGCTATTAATTGCTTTTCAGATGGGTAATTTACAAATATTTTCTCCCATTCTGTGGGTTTTCTCTTCACTTTATTGTTTCCTTCACTTTAAAAAAGCTTTCTTACTTGCTGTAATTCCATTTGTCCATGTTTGCTTTGGTTGTCTGTGCTTATGGGGCATAGTTTAAGAGATTTTTGCCCAAACCAATGCCCTAAAGAGTTTCCCCAATGTTTTCTTGTAAAAGTTTGACAGTCTGAGGCGTTAGGTTTAAGTCTTTAATTCATTTTCATTTTTGTATGTGGCAAGAAGTAGGGTTCTAGTTTCATTCTTCTGCCCATGGCTTGCCAGTTTTCCCAGCCCCGTTTGTTACAGAAACTGTCTTATTTTTTGTTGTATGTTCTTGACACTTTTGTTGAAAATAGGTTTAGTTTAGCTGTATGAGTTTGTTTCTAAGTTCTCCATTTCATTCCATTTGTATTTATGTCTGTTTTTATTCTAGTGTCATGCTGCTTCAATTGCTATACCTTGATAGTGGCCAGCAGGCCCCTTGCAGAGGGCAAAGCAACGTGGAATCCGAAGTCACGCTCCGGTCGCCCTGTGACTCCTGCGTGTTCGGGGCATCCGGCTCTGGCTCCGTGGCAGGGCCCGGCCCGGCGATGTGCGGTCCGTGAACCGCGCGGGCGGAAAGCGGGCGGCCGCCTGCGCTGCGGCCCTTGGGTGTTTCGGGAAGTCGCCCGTTCCTCGGGAGTCGGAACTGCTGAGACTCTCTCCGCGGCGAGCGGACCCAGGCGGGCGATCCGGAGGGACGTGAGCGCCCCGCGGGCCCAGCCCTCGGCCCGCCCTGGAGGCGGGAGACCGCTTTCCTCCCCGTCCCTCGCCCCGTCGCGCCTCCCCTGCCTTTCTTCTGTCTTTCCCGCCTCTCTTCCTCCCTCTCTTTTCTCCTCTCCAATGTCCCCGCCGCCGTCTGTCTTTTCCTCTCTCCGTCTCTCCCTTTCTCGCTGTCTCTGTTTTTCTTCTCATCTCTATTTCTTCAACCTTATATGATGCTACTGTATCTCTGTGTTACTGTTATTTGTTGCAAGTGTACTTTGCAACAAAGTACGTTTCGTGAAGATATTTACATTCCCATTTAGACACGTTATTTAGGTATGTGCATTTGTTTAATAGACGTAAGGGTGTTTCAGACTTATTCTACAGCACAGTTTAAGCATAATTTTTATAAGCACTGACAACCCGAAAATTGTGTGACTCACATGCCTGTGATTTTTTTCCGTTGCACTGGTCTTGAACAAAAGCTCTACATCTGCAATTTATATCTGTGTGGTATCATCGAATCGCCCCGTTTACTGGAGTGACAGAACACGATTTCCCGACTACGACAAGAGCTATGGGCAGTGGGGAGGTCAGGGTTAGGATGACACAGAAATAAAGATAAGTCATTCTCTTTTTCACATCTATAGTAAACACTAATTCCATATGAAAGTAAGACAAAATTATCTTGAAATTTAAAATTCCAAACAACATCAATGTACATTATTACATATAATGAAAATTATAAAGCAACCAAATAATTAAAACAAATAATGAAAGATTGTATGACCTCAATATAAAATACAAGTAGAATATATGTTAAATATAACAAAATACACTTTATTGTAGTATATTATGAAATCTCCATATCCTGCAATACAATACAATCAATTGAAATGTGTAAGATACAATAGGATTTAATTTAGGATGTTTATAATGAAAACATGAGGCAGGTGAATAAATGAGTACACTCATTTACCATTTAATATATCGTTACTTAATTTTTTTGTAAAAATATTAAAAGTAAACACCTTGCATGGTAATTTTACTATAATTATATCAAACTTTAAAATGTGTAATCATTTTTCCACAGCAAGTGCTATTAATGTTTTTTGGATATTAGTACTTCACGGGTTCAGGCTAGAAGAGTGAGAGCCTACAACCTATTCTGAAATAAAAGAGGAGCAATTTCTTGGTAAGGCGGTTCATGCCTGTAATCCCAGCACTTTAGGAGGTCAAGGCTGGCGTATCACTTGAGTTCGAGACCAACCTGGCCAACGTGACAAAACTCTGTCTGTACTAATAATACAAAAAAAAAAAAAAAAAATAAGCCAGGCATGGTGGTATATGCCTGTAGTCCCAGCTACTTGAGAGGCTGAGGCATGAGAATTGTTTGAACCCAGGAAGCGGAGGTTGCAGTGAGCTAAGATTGTGTCACTGCATTCCAGCCTGGGTAACATTTCTTTTCTACAATCTAAAATATGCAAACTCATATGATCACATTCTAATATTTTCCTGATTACATAGAAATGCATGACTGTCACCAGACCTCCATATCTAACATGAAATATAAAATTTGTCTATAGCATCGGCCTTTTACAAAATGCAGAGCTTACCATTCTGATTATATTGTTCAAATTTATTTCCTATGATTTCTTCATGTTCTGTCATTTATTAACACAGTGCATCTAATATTGTCACTGCTGGTCATCTAGAAAAATCTGAGCAGTAGCAGGTCCTTGTTCTCATTCCCAGAGCTGCATCCTCTGCTGAATAGGGCCAGGGTCCTCTCAGCTCAAGCCTCATCTGATCCACTGACATGCTCAGTTACATCATGCCCAAAAAAGGGTGAGCTTCTCTATTCAGGCCTCTATCCCCAGGACCAGACAGTGTGGCTGAGACAAGCCAACCCTCAGCAGGTAAGACTTAAGCTCCCTGGGTGGCAATGGCATAGAAGGTCTGCACCTGGGCACACAGAGGCCCCCAGATCCAAGTCAGCAATGTGAGCTGCTCTCAGGTCAGTGGAAAATGGACCTGCTGTGCCCACACCTGGGCTAGGTCTTGATAAGTAGCCTCCAGCATAGCTCCAACAGAGGTCACCAAGCTTTTTCCAAGTGCCGGTCATTGGAATCCTAGGGCCCCAGACCTGTGCCACTGGCTGTGCCCAGTGCAAGCCCTCGAATGTCCCTTATGGTGGGCATCACAGATCTCCTGGATTTCACTGTAGTGCACAGCAGTGGAGGACTTTGATTTTTTTTTTTTTTTAACATCAAGCTGCGTTCCTCTTCTGGACAGTTCCCTGCAGAGAATGCATGTGAGAGACTCGTCAGAGCAGTCCCCACAGACCCTCATTTCCAGAACCTCTTGTGCACCCAGGTGAACCCCACTTGTCTCTCCCACTCCTTCCTGACCATCTCAGCACTGGAATGAAGTGAGGCTGAACCCCTTGTGAGTCCCCAAATATTCTCAGAGCTAAGATCTCAAAAATTTACTTGTCACTAAGAAACTCCCTTCCTGCTGAAGACATGTATAAAAGCTTCCTGATTATTTGCCCTTTGGGGCCACAAAAAACAAACAAACAAACAACAAAAACACCACCATTACCAAGAAAAAACACCAAGATTATACCTGCTCTGTCTTGGCAGCTGTCCTTGGAACTGATTTTTCTTTTCGTGAAGTTTCCCCAATATGAGCTGGACTCTGGTTCTTTGAATCCAATGAGAGTTTGAAATAGTGCCTCCAACTGAATACCCTGAAATTCCTAGTCCATCCTGGACACGCAGGAGCTCAGGTTGCCACCAAACCCCAGCTCTCTTCTGTTCTGCAGTGTCCAGGATCTGTATGGCCCTGGCTGCCAAGGAGCTCCCAGTTTCCTTGCCAGGAAAGCCTGTGTTGTTGCCCTGTCCCTTCTCACCTTCAAAGAGTCAAATCTTACCTAATCTAGCAGTGCTGTTTCTGGCTTTGGGCTTGGTCTCCTGGGACTTCTCCTCCTCTTTTGGATTTTTGGATTTGGCTCTAATCCTACTGCAAAAGAAAGCTTAGGTGACTCACCTCTCCCTAGGCAGGGTCCCATATTCTATCTCTGATGCATTTTTGCGGATCTGTCTTTCAAGTGAAGCTCTTTTGCCAGCGTCATGAGTGAACACGTTTCTCAAAGTCCCCTGAGGGCGCTAAGCCATTTCCCATCCCCAATCTCAAAACAAAACCCTACCAAAGACACATAGCTCAGTATCCCTGATTCCAACCCTCCTTCCAGCCTCCATAGGAGCAGCCCAAGGCCTTACCTTGCCTTTGTATGTGCTTCTCACTGGAATGGGAAGAGGCGGTCTTGCCTTTTCCTTTGAACGGTTTCTTCTCATCTGAGCCCTTTCCTGTAAAGGAGATCTGTTGGAAAGGGGGCTGGTCAGTGGAACATTGGATGGAGGAGCAGTGGAGATAGGGGTCTTCGTTTCCCTTTCCCATGTTGAAGCTCAAGTGAAAGGTGCGCTGTCTTATCCCTCTGCTACTTAAATTGTAGAGACCCTTCTCTACTATCTTACACGTCCAAATGCAGAGTGTGGGTTTATCGGCTGGACCTGCCTTTTATAGGTCCCTTGGCTGGGCGTGGCTTACTCTTATTGGCTGAACAGGTTTCTCTTTCCTGCCACTCATTAGAGCCCCAATAAGAAAAGTTTCTTGCTGTAGTTCTACTGGGGACCTAGACACAGTTAAGGGGAGACATTTTCAGGATCCTGTCATAGTGACAAGAAACAAAGAACTGGGAGCACAGGGATCAGAAGATTGGGGAATTATTTCTTCCGATTTCTGTCCCAGTTCCTACCTGGAAGGATTTATGATCCTGTTCACCTTTCAAGATGCAGAATTAAACATACCTATATTGATATATGTTACATATTTTGCACAGAAGATAATTTATTATAGGGTTAAAATTATATACATAGATATTATAATTTCTCAAATGCTTGGAAACAACAAATATCAAGATATGGTTGACTGTATTAGATCCATACATATATGATGAAATAAAACTGCAGAGAAAAAGTAAATACCAAATAAAATGGCCCTTCCTACCTAAAAAATGGGGAAGATAATTAGATCAAATGCACCAAAATCGAATTGATTAGATAAGAGCCAGATGTAACCTAATCAGCCCCTATTTCCTGAGGTAGCAAAAAGTGTAGGTGGAAAAACTTTCCCCCTTTCTCACCCTGCCTCAGTCATCCTGGGAGCGCCACTGTGTTCTGTGGAATTTACCCAGCCTCCCTAGTAAAGATGGACTTGGTCCCAAACAGGTAACCCAACTGATCACAAGAAAAACAGCCTAAATGCTGAGCATCAGCTCCTGTCTTCACACTGCGGACACCACCTGAATCCCATCAAAGCCCACGTTGTTTCCCAACATCCACCAGCAAGACGTATTCCAGGGCAGCCTCTCAAAACTGCCTCAGTGAGACGGGGCAAGGTGTGGTGGAGCTCCAGGTTCAGAATAGCTGCCTCATCCCTTCCTACTGCGGCAGAGTCTGCCTCTGCAGGTGGGAGCCCTCCAACTGTAGAAGGGTTAGTGCATGTCCCAGCAAGTGTCCCCTAAAAGGACCTTCTCGTCTCCCCCTCTGCTGAAGAAAGCATGCAGGAATGAGACCTTCTACGTTAGGGAGTACTCAGCCTCCAGTCCCAAATGACTTGATTGACTGATGAACTGATTCCCTGAGGAGGAGAAAGACGCGGGGAAGATACTGTGTCGGGTGAATCTGTTTTCCCAGCTGTGCTGTCTGTGCAAATAGTGGAACCAAAAAAAAAATTAGTGGTCGACAGACACTGCCTAATGAAATTGTCTGAATTTAAGTGGAACTTATCATAAAATCATCATATACGCATCATCAATCCATGCGTCTCCAATATCATGTAAAATTTGACATATAAATAAATTTTGATATACTATATCATAATATTGTATAAAACTTTATCAGGTAATTTTATAAGAAAGTTAAATTTTGTAGTAACATTAACATCTAAACTTAATAGAAAGCTAGAAAAATTATCTGCTCTTGTTTCAATGACTGCTTTTTGGATAACTCTGTAAAGGGTCTGAAGACGGGTCTGCTACTTACTTGATAAGACTTCGACTTCTAAATCCTTGCTGTTTTTAACCAGTGCCCTACCAAGATATGAGAATATTTTACTCTAAGAAAGCATGTTCATAGATACCATAATAGGAATTTTGTTCATTTTAGTTAAATTATTATAACATATTGGTTATTAATAGTTTATGTACTACTACTCTCCCCTAAATTTTATTTTGAAATCTCTAGTGTAACAGTCTTCCTTCCTTCCTTCCCTCCCTCCGTCCCTCCCTCCCTCCCCAGTTTAGCCAGAAAGTGTTTAGGTTACACATAAACCATCACTGTAACAATCTTCCTTCCTTCCTTCCTTCCTTTCTTCCTTCCTTCCTTCCTTCCTTCCTTCCTTCCTTCCTTCCGTCCCTCCCTCCCTCCCTCCCTACCCCCGCCCCCACAGTTTGGCCAGGAAGTGTTTAGGTTACACATAAACCATCATTGTAACAGCCAGCCAGCCTGGCTGCCCGCCCTCCCTCCCTCCTTCCCCAGTTTGGCCAGAAAGTGTTAGGTTACACATAAACCATCATTTTAACAGCTTGCCTTCCTTCCTTCCTTCCCTCCCTCCCCAGTTTGGCCAGAAAGTGTTTAGGTTACACATAAACCATCACTGACTAGAGACTGTTATTTGAATTTAGGTGATGCCCTATGTCTATTCACAGTGTGTGTAGATATTTAAAATTACACTCAGCTTGGGAGAAAAGAACATTGAGTAGTGGGAAAAAGTCTCACCCACAGCTGTTATACAAATGTACAGACAAATGTCTGGAGAAGATAGCATGTTTTCAAATATTTTCGTCTCTTTGTCAGTCTCTGCCAAATAGACCCTCAGGGGCTCTCTCTGTCTCTTGGATGAACACTCTCCTGAGGGCTTGGAGACATCCACAGTATGAGTTAACCACCCACTGCAGATTTAATAAATGTTCAAATAAATGAGATTGAATGAAAAATAAAACACCTCAATCTGACTGTTCTTTTATGCTTTTCTCCCAGATGTGCACTGATCCATTACTTACAACAAACTTGGACTATAAATTCTTGCATTTGTACATGCTGGGAGTTCTGTGAGTCAGACTTCACCTGAATAATTCTAAGAGTATCTTGGGGGTAAAAGAGATGAAAAATTACATGTTCTTCTGGAGACTAGTATTGTATCAGTTATTATTACTGGACTTCATTCTCCCTCTACCAGTTTGTCCCCGTGACCATTTTTATTACACAATTGTTATTATTATTATTTAACTTTCTGAGTACTAAGTGTGTGCTATGGCGTAGTACGTGACGCAAATAAGACATCCTTCTTTCTCGGGGTTTCCAATGTAAGTCATCAAGTTCAATATTTAGTCATTAGTGTTCTTTTATGTATACACATACAAGTACACACACTACACAAATACATATAAGTATAAATATAGATGTATCTATACCAATAAGTTAAATAATTGCCAACTCATGCACTACTTCTCTGCCTAAAAAGGACAATTTTTTAAAAAGCATATGACAAGTCTTTATTTAATAGCAATTTTAAATCACAGAAACTATTTTTATATTTCTATTTTTTATACAGAATTCAAAGTAATTAAAGAATTTCATGATTTTTCTCTACAGATGGCCTTTGGTGCTACTACCACATATTACCAAAGTGTCTCATCTACCAGACGGTCTCCTCTGATCGTTTAAAACTAGAAAACTGGACAACGCAAAGGCTTTAGCAGATAACTGAAGTGGACTGGTAAACTAATACACGTGAACTTCATAGAATTTGGATCTAGATTGAATCTCTATCAAGACTGTTAGAGGAGGGATATTTGTATAATTGGTTAATAGACCAAGAAAAGACACCATTTGGTAGAGCTTTTACACATTAATTGGCTAGTACAGGGGCTCATGTGAGGTGTGTGTGCCCAAAGGCATGTTTTATTTTCCTGGTAATTAGTAGGGTCAAATGGACTTTATTAAAACTAGTCTAAATGTCAGGCAAGCAAAGAGAAGTAGTGGGTCTTGTGATTATAAGAGCAGATAGAGACAGAAAGTTGAGTCACCAGACTGGCAATCACAGAGCCAGACACTTGGTTTTATCTGACGATAGTTTCCTGAACTCAGACCCAGTCCTGCCTGAGGCCCGAACTAAGACCCAGTTCTGTGAATGCAGAGACACTGTGCTCGGCTGCCCTAATTCCACCATAAGTTTGTGTCATATGCCCTCAATACTTACGGTAATTTAAAAAATGTCTACTGTTCACAGCATAAGAATCCAAAAGAAGGAAAACTGAGGGGTAGAGAAGGAAGGAGAAAAAATAAAAGGAAGAGGGAGAAAGATGGAGGCAGGGAGGGGGAGACAGTGGCTGTAAGCAGGTAAGATGGGATATTAGAGTATCTGGAGGATCCGTCAAAGGGAATGACAATGTAAGATTAAAACATGGAGATACAGATTTATTTTAATTACACCAGTAATTTTGAACATACTCGTTATAAAAGTTTGAAATGAATAAAAATAGTCTTCAAGATATTTTAAATAAACTTTATTTTTTAGAGCAGTTTTAGGTTCACAGTAAAATTGAACACAAAATCCAGAGAGTTTCCACAAATCCCCATCCACGTCCATGCATCTCCCCTCCCACGGTCCACATCGCGTAGCAGAATCTAAATTTGCACGCGTCTCCCCTCCGACTGTCCACATCCTGTAGCAGAATCTAAATTTGCATGCGTCTCCCCTCCGACTGTCCACAACCTGTAGCAGAATCTAAATTTGCATGCGTCTCCCCTCCCACTGTCCACATCCTGCAGCGGAATCTAAATTTGCACGCGTCTCCTCTCCCACGGTCCACATCCTGCAGCGGAATCTAAATTTGCACGCGTCTCCCTCCCACTGTCCACATCCTGCAGCGGAATCTAAATTTGCACGCGTCTCCCTCCCACTGTCCACATCCTGTAGCAGAATCTAAATTTGCACGCGTCTCTCCTCCCACTGTCCACATCGCGTAGCAGAATCTAAATTTGCATGCGTCTTCTCTCCCACTGTCCACATCCTGTAGCAGAATCTAAATTTGCACGCGTCTCCCCTCCCACTGTCCACATCCTGTAGCAGAATCTAAATTTGCATGCGTCTCCCCTCCCACTGTCCACATCGCGTAGCAGAATCTAAATTTGCATGCGTCTCCCCTCCCACTGTCCACATCCTGCAGCGGAATCTAAATTTGCACGCGTCTCCTCTCCCACGGTCCACATCCTGCAGCGGAATCTAAATTTGCACGCGTCTCCCTCCACTGTCCACATCCTGCAGCAGAATCTAAATTTGCACGCGTCTCCCTCCCACTGTCCACATCCTGTAGCAGAATCTAAATTTGCATGCGTCTTCTCTCCCACTGCCCACATCCTGTAGCAGAATCTAAATTTGCAAGCGTCTACCACTCCCACTGTCCACATCCTGTAGCAGAATCTAAATTTGCACGCGTCTCCCCTCCCACTGTCCACATCCTGTAGCAGAATCTAAATTTGCATGCGTCTTCTCTCCCACTGCCCACATCCTGTAGCAGAATCTAAATTTGCATGCGTCTCCCCTCCCACTGTCCACATCCTGTAGCAGAATCTAAATTTGCATGCGTCTTCTCTCCCACTGCCCACATCCTGTAGCAGAATCTAAATTTGCACGCGTCTCCCCTCCCACTGTCCACATCCTGTAGCAGAATCTAAATTTGCACGTGACTCCCCTCCCACTGTCCACATCGCGTAGCAGAATCTAAATTTGTCATGCGTCTCCCCTCCCACTGTCCACATCCTGTAGCAGAATCTAAATTTGCATGCGTCTTCTCTCCCACTGCCCACATCCTGTAGCAGAATCTAAATTTGCATGCGTCTCCCTCCCACTGTCCACATCGCGTAGGAGAATCTAAATTGCATGCGTCTCCCCTCCCACTGTCCACATCCTGTAGCAGAATCTAAATTGCACGCGTCTCCCCTCCCACTGTCCACATCCTGTAGCAGAATCTAAATTTGCATGCGTCTTCTCTCCCACTGCCCACATCCTGTAGCAGAATCTAAATTTGCATGCATCTCCCTCCACTGTCCACGTCGCATAGCAGAATCTAAATTTGCACGCGTCTCCCCTCCCACTGTCCACATCCTGTAGCAGAATCTAAATTTGCACGCGTCTCCCCTCCCACTGTCCACATCCTGTAGCAGAATCTAAATTTGCATGCGTCTTCTCTCCCACTGCCCACATCCTGTAGCAGAATCTAAATTTGCACGCGTCTCCCCTCCCACTGTCCACATCCTGTAGCAGAATCTAAATTTGCACGCGTCTCCCCTCCCACTGTCCACATCCTGTAGCAGAATCTAAATTTGCACGCGTCTCCCCTCCCACTGTCCACATCCTGTAGCAGAATCTAAATTTGCACGCGTCTCCCCTCCCACTGTCCACATCCGCGTAGCAGAATCTAAATTTGCACGCGTCTCCCCTCCCACTGTCCACATCCTGTAGCACAATCTAAATTTGCATGCGTCTTCTCTCCCACTGCCCACATCCTGTAGCAGAATCTAAATTTGCATGCGTCTCCCCTCCCACTGTCCACATCCTGTAGCAGAATCTAAATTTGCACGCGTCTCCCCTCCCACTGTCCACATCCTGTAGCAGAAATTCTAAATTTGCACGCGTCTCCCCTCCCACTGTCCACATCCTGTAGCAGAATCTAAATTTGCACGCGTCTCCCCTCCCACTGTCCACATCCTGTAGCACAATCTAAAATTTGCATGCGTCTTCTCTCCCACTGCCCACATCCTGTAGCAGAATCTAAATTTGCATGCGTCTCCCCTCCCACTGTCCACATCCTGTAGCAGAATCTAAATTTGCACGCGTCTTCTCTCCCACTGCCCACATCCTGTAGCAGAATCTAAATTTGCATGCGTCTCCCCTCCCACTGTCCACATCGCATAGCAGAATCTAAATTTGCACGCGTCTCCCCTCCCACTGTCCACATCCTGTAGCAGAATCTAAATTTGCATGCGTCTTCTCTCCCACTGCCCACATACCTGTAGCAGAATCTAAATTTGCACGCGTCTCCCCTCCCACTGTACCACATCCTGTAGCAGAATCTAAATTTGCATGCGTCTTCTCTCCCACTGCCCACATCCTGTAGCAGAATCTAAATTTGCATGCATCTCCCTCCCACTGTCCACGTCGCATAGCAGAATCTAAATTTGCACGCGTCTCCCCTCCCACTGTCCACATCCTGTAGCAGAATCTAAATTTGCATGCGTCTCCTCTCCCACTGTCCACATCCTGCAGCTAAATCTAAATTTGCACGCGTCTCCCCTCCCACTGTCCACATCCTGTAGCAGAATCTAAATTTGCACGCGTCTCCCCTCCCACGGTCCACATCGCGTAGCAGAATCTAAATTTGCACGCGTCTCCCCTCCCACTGTCCACATCCTGTAGCAGAATCTAAATTTGCACGCGTCTCCCCTCCCACTGTCCACATCCTGTAGCAGAATCTAAATTTGCACGCGTCTCCCCTCCCACTGTCCACATCCTGTAGCAGAATCTAAATTTGCATGCGTCTTCTCTCCCACTGTCCACATCCTGTAGCAGAATCTAAATTTGCACGCGTCTCCCCTCCCACTGTCCACATCCTGTAGCAGAATCTAAATTTGCACGCGTCTCCCCTCCCACTGTCCACATCCTGTAGCAGAATCTAAATTTGCATGCGTCTCCCCTCCCACTGTCCACATCCCGTAGCAGAATCTAAATTTGCATGCGTCTCCCCTCCCACTGTCCACATCCTGTAGCAGAATCTAAATTTGCACGCGTCTCCCCTCCCACTGTCCACATCCTGTAGCAGAATCTAAATTTGCATGCGTCTCCCCTCCCACTGTCCACATCCTGTAGCAGAATCTAAATTTGCATGCGTCTCCCCTCCCACTGTCCACATCCTGTAGCAGAATCTAAATTTGCATGCGTCTCCCCTCCCACTGTCCACATCCTGTAGCAGAATCTAAATTTGCATGCGTCTCCCCTCCCACTGTCCACATCCTGCAGGGGAATCTAAATTTGTTCCAATCAGTGAAACTACAATGACTAGTCTTGTCTTGTTGGGGATTTTTCATACACACTCATGTGAAACATTGGTATGCAGTTTTCTTTTACTGTAATATCATTGTGCTGTTTTAATATTAGCCTCATTGAATGAGTTAGGAAATATTCCCTCTGATTCTGTCTTCTGAAAAAGATTGTAAGGAATTGTTATAATATTTTTCATAAATGTTTGGTAGATTCTACCAGTGGACCCATCTGGGACTGGTACTTTATATTTAGGAAGTTATTAATTATTGATAGTATTTCTTTAATACATAAGAGTTATTCTAACTAGTTTTTCTTGTGTCAGAATCTAGCAAATTTAGATTCTGCTACACGATGTGGACAGTGGGAGGGGAGACACATGCAAATACGTGTGTTTTCAAACTCAATGGCTGTCATCATTGAGACACTGAATTTTCACCATATTGTTTAATTTGCTACTACTTAAAGTTATTATCTCTTCTGCAAATTCATTTTTTAAAAAGATTGACGATCTAGAAACAAAGCAGAATTTTACTTTATGTGGAATTAATAATCAGTTTTGGCTAGATTAATTAAATGCAGTATCTGTAAGACTTTCATTAAAATTAAAATTAAATCATTAAAATTAAAAAATGTTGGGCCGGGAGCGGTGGCTCATGCCTGTAAATCCCAGCACTTTGGGAGGCCAACGCGGGCGGATCACGAGGTCAGCAGATCGAGACCATCCCGGCTAACACGGTGAAACCCTGTCTCTACTGAAAATGCAAAAAAAATTAGCGGGGCGTGGTGGCGGGCACCTGTAGTCCCAGCTACTCGGGAGGCTGAGGCAGGAGAATGGCGGGAACCCGGGAGGCAGAGCTTGCAGTGAGCCGAGATCGGGCCGCTGCACTCCAGCCTGGGCGACAGAGCGCGACTCCGTCTCAAAAATAAATAAATAGATAAATAGATAAATAAATAAATAAATAAAAATAAAAATGAAAAATGATGAAGTCAGGCAGACTTATAAAGCTATCCTATAATTTATGTGTCCTTTTGTCTATTATTTCAAATATGTATTTAAGTATTATAGCCTTTTTCCTACAAACATTATATATATATATCTAATATGTAAAACAAATAAAAAATGGAGTTTTTCTGATGAACACAGAAGAGGCAACTTGAAAGACACTTCCCCAGTTTCCTTCTCATATAACTTGACTGATCCTGCAAAACCTCTACAGAATGTCATTGTTCCTTAGAACAGTACAAAACCCACCATCCTATTGTTGTTTCTGAACTGTACCCATTTCTTTATATGCCTCTTTCTGAACCATTTTCTTATCAAGACTGATGGTTCTTTGTTACTGAATGAAAAGAATACCCACGCTTTAGCCTATGTAGAGTTGTGTTAAAAGAAAAATCTTAAATTTAACAGAATTTAATCAAGCAAAGAACGATTCACAAATTGGGCAGCCGCTGAACCAAAATACGTTCAGAGATGATCCAGTGCTGTCTCTTGGTCAAAGAAGATTCATGGATAGAAAAAGGAAAGTGACATAGAGAAAACGGAAGTGAAGTACCAAAACAGACAATTTGGCTTTTGCCTTACTTTAACAGTTGTAACAGTTGGCCATCTTTGATTGGCTGAAACTCGGTGATTGGCACAACAGTAGATTACAGTCTGTTTACACATTCAGTTAGATATAGTTCACTATGTACAAAGAAATCATTAAGCCGAATTTAAAATATGTAAGGAGGCAGCGTTAGGTTAAACTTAACAGTTGTATTAAGTTAGCCATCAAATCAGAATTAGCATTTTCTTCCTTTTACTTAAATTCTTCTTCACTGTTTTATTATCAGTGTCTTTTGGTCTTTTCATCTACTTGTGCAAAACTCTGCGTTGATGCTTTAGTGCTCTCAGTATCTTCCCATGTTCTTGACATCCTGATCCTGATACTTTTAAGTAATATAAAAGGTGCCTTCTTGGATGTCAGGTGTCCTGAAAGAGGACACTGTCATCTTGCTCAACCATCATTGAGAATGCTTCAGGAAATGGCCTTTTGGTGTCCTATCTTTACCTAGCACCCATTTCTCTTTCAGCAATTTAGTGTCCTGAAATAGCCAGATGCTGTTATTTACTCTATCCTTAAGCAGAAGAAATATCTTTATTTAAAAAAATTTTTTTTTATATATTAAAAAAACCTAAAATACAAAAAATGATTTTTCCAGATTTGCTTCAGTTTTCTTTTATAACAAAATGATAGAGATACAGATAGGACTTACACATTCCATTCTTTCCTCTTAGAGATCACCTTTTAACGATAGCCTCTTAAGATGGTTTGATACATTCCCATTCATGTTTTCATACATTCATACACATATGCATATTCCTCAAATATATATTATTGTTTTGTATGAGAAAAATGTTTGTAAATTGAATATATCCTGAAACATTGTTTATCTCAACATAATGCTTATGAAATTTTATCCATCTTGTTTCATTTATTTCTGTTTTATTCATTTTAATTCCTGAGTGAATTTTAAGTATTGACTATAGATAGATCATGACTTTGAGGGATGGCATGCAAATATCAGTATCTCCAAGCCTTTTCTCTTGAGTGGTTCAGGCAACTACAGTGCAATCTTCTGATCTCCTTCTGAGGGTACCACTGTCACTGTTCCTTGTAGGAACCTAGCAGTAACAGGTGATTAATAAAGTGTCTCCCATTAGTATGTAGAATTTCTACCCTTAACTTCCCTGATTTCTGTATGTTACTCAGCTGTGGTTGCTGTCTCAGAGAACTCTTCTTATAGGACATAAGATGTTTTCCAGGATAACAACCACCAGCTGTCTGATTTCAGAGAGGTAGAAGCCTGGCAATATTAGATTGAGGATGTGTATACAGGATTCCAGTTTCTTAAAACATTTTTTTTTCCTATTTGCATCACCTCCCATGGCACTACTTTATTTATTTATGTATTATTTATTTTAATTTTTAAAAAATTTATTTTTTTTAGACAAATTCTTGTTCTGTCACTGAGGCTGGAGTGCAGTGGTGCGATCTCTGCTCACTGCAACCTCCGCCTCCCGGGTTCCAGCGATCCCCCACTTCAGCTTCCCGAGTAGCTGGGACCACAGGCACGCACCACCACACCTGGCTAATAGCACTTCTTTATAGAGATTTTTGCCAGGATAAATATAATTTTTGAGATATCTGCATTGTAGGCAATCATCTTTTTTAATTTTTCATTCACAAATGTTATTTCCAAAATGTAGCCGTCTCTTACCTACTAATTTTTCTCCTGTTTTCTTTGTCTGTATGGGTTTGTATTTTTTAATTGTTGCTATTATGGCTATTGTTGTTATTGTTATATTATTCATTTTCTATTAGCTAAGTGAAGGTTTTGGGGCAGTATGAAATAAATATGTCAAAGTTACCATATTCTTCTGTTATTATTTTTAATGGAAGATAATAAATTTTAATTTTTTCTTCAATGATTTTGATCTGTTCAGTATTTTCTAATCACTTTACATAAATTTATAGGTTTGCTACTTAACATACTTTATTATTTTGTCCATTTTGGGTGGGGATTGGGAATGAGGAGATTGAAATACAAAGAAATTCAAAGCCTTGACTAGGGTCCTGTTGGCAATGGGATCAGGAGTTCGAACAAAACAATCTCCTCCAGAGCCCATGTGCTCAACCACTTACTTCCCTCCCTCCCTTGTTGCTACTGAGAGAATAACTCCTACTGAGAAAGTGTCTTATGACACTTTTAAGACTAACTTTTAAGAAAATTTCGGAAGAAATTCTTGAATTTAGTAAAATATTGTACAAGATAGACTTACAGCTACTTTTAAAGTTCTAAGTTGTAAGACTTTGTAAACACTTGCTTTTATGCACTACAGAGAAAGAGCCCATTCCAGTTCCTCCTCTCTGCTTTTCAAACTCTCTGTTTTTTGCTCACTTTTCTCCAAATTACTGTAAATCCTCTCCCTGGCAAGATGCAGTTTCTCACTCTACACTATCACACACACATTAGCCTGGTGGTTACTTCTTACCTTGCTATAATCCCAGTGAACTAGAATTTTGATCTGATGTGATATGAAAGAAATGAGGAAGAAAAGAAAAATTTTAAAAAGCACATCATTATTTTTGGATATACATCTGTCTGTTGCCAACTTAGAATTATGAAATATAATGAACATGTAAAGGTCTTGACTTGTATTTCTCAATTTATTCTTAAACGTCTTTATTCATCTTCTGTAATTGCAGTCCTTGATAACCTGAGCGGCAAAAATGAAGAGAATGCAAACAGAAGGGCTGAGAGAAAAAACCTCTTCTAACCACTGCTCCTTAATTTCCCAGGATCCACATTCTCATCCTTACCATTCCTTTAATCGTTTTCCTTTTATATACTTTATATGATAAATGGAGTCTTATGAACTCACTTGGAAATCTAATCACTATTTTTTAAGGAAATATATTTTTAGCTCAAAACTTCATTTTCAAACATAACCAGTTTGCATGTTGAGAACAGATTACAGCTAAACAGATTGTACACACGCACACATTCTGGATTTATTGTATTTACGTGGTGTAATCACCATCTTGTATCTAAGGTCCTGATATCTTGGAGGAAAATGAAATATGAATTTGGAGATAAGAGATTGTTGGTCTTGTATTTATATTACCTAAAACAACTCATGCAGAACTGGTAAGAAGTTGCTTATGTGCACACAGAAGGGAAATGTGGGGTCGGGGCCCCCACACAGTCCCCACTGTGGTACTGCCTAGTGGAGCTGTGGGAAGAAAGCCACCCTCCTCCAGACCCTGGAATGGTAGATCTACTGACAGCTTGCACTGTGTTCCTGGAAAAGCTGCAGAAACTCAACCCAGGGGGGGGTCTGTATCCTGCAAAGCCACAGGGACAGAGTTGCCCAAGGTCCTGGGAGCCCACCTCTTACATCAGAGTGACCTGGATGTGAGACATGGGGTCAAAGAAGATCACTTTGGAGCTTCAAGAACTGACTGCCCTGCTGGATTTCAGACTTGCATGAGGCCTGTGACCTCTTTGCTTTGGCCAATTTCTCCCATTTGGAATGGGTGTATTTATCTAATGCCTATACCCCCATTGTATCTGGGAAGTAAATAACTTGCTTTTAATTTTACAAGCTCATAGGCAGAAGAAATTTGCCTTGTCTCAGATTAGACTTTGGACTGTGGACTTTCAAGTCAATGCTGAAACGAGTTAAGACTTTAGGGGACTGTTGGAAGGGCATGACTGTGTTTCAAAATGTGAGGACATGAGATTTGGGAGGGGCCAGGGCAAAATGATGTCGTTGTCTGTGTCCCCACCCAAATCTCATCTTGAATTGTAGCTCCCATAATGCCCATGTATCATGGGAGGGACCTGGTGGGAGGTAACTGAATCATGGGGGTGGGTTTTTCCCATGCTGTTCTCATGACAGTGAGTAAGTCTCAGGAGAGCTGATGGTTTTATAATGGGCAGTTCCCCTGCACAAGCTCTCTTGCCTGCTTCTATGTAAGACATGACTTTGCTTCTCCTTTGCCTCGTGACATGATGGTGAGGTCTCCCCAGCCATGTGGAACCATGAGTCAATTAAAACTGTTTCCTTTATAAATTACCCAGTCTTGGTACGTACTTATTAACAGTGTGAGAATGGACTAATACAACAGACAACCTACAGAATGGGAGAAATATTCACAAACTATTCATCCAACAAAGGACTAATATCCACAATTTACAAGAAACTTAAGCAAACAAGCAAAAAACCAATAACCCCATTAAAAAATGGTCAAAGAACATGAACAGACACTATTGAAAAGAAGACAAACAACCATCAAACATATGAAAAGATGCTAATCATCACTAATCATCAGAGAAACGCAAATCAAAACCATAGTGAGATACAGTCTCATACCAGTCAGAATGGCTTTTGGTTAAATAGTCAAAAAATAACAGCTGCTGGTGGGGCTGCGGAGAAAAGGGAGTTCTTGTACACTGTTGGTGGGAATGTGAATTAGTTCAGTCACTGTAGAAAGCAGTTTGCAGATTTCTTAAAGAACTCAGAGCTGAACTACCAAGTTACCCAGCAACCCCATTACTGGATATACACCCAAAGGAAAATACATTGTTCCACCGAAAAGATACATACACTACACACACCCATACATTCATTGCAACACTAGTCACAATAGCAAAGACATGCAACCAAACCAAGTGCCCATCAGCAGTGGATTGGATAAAGAAAATGTGGTACATATGCAACATGTAATACTACACAGCCATAAAGAAGAACGAAACTGTTATTTGTAGCAACATGGATACAGCCAGAGGCCATTACCTTAAGTGAACTAAAGCAGAAACAGAAAACCAAATACCATGTGTTCTCACTGATAAGTGGGAACTAAACGTTGGGTACACATGGTTATAAAGATGGGGACAACTGACGCTGGGGATACCAGAGGAGAGACTGAGAAACTACTTATTTCTGGGTGGTGGGTTCAGTCATACTCCAAACCTGAGCATCACATCATATATCTTTGTAACAAACCTGCACATCTACCCCTGGAATATAAAATAAAAGTTGAAATTTAAAAAGAAAAGAATGAAAAACTAGAGGGGAACAGAGGTAACAAAAAATAATGAGTGCCCTTATAGGAAATGAAAATCTGATTTAAAAAACTGTATTAATTAAAAATCATGATAATAGAGTAAGCTTTTGTTAAACTTATTTTTTAAGTGTCATTTGGATCAGTGAATGAAGAATTATTAAATATTACTTTTAAAAATTCAATTATATATTTGAAATATATCATTATAATTTGAACTTACATTTAATATAAAAATAATTTCCAGATGGACACAACAGTTAACTGTAATCAAATAAAAATCAAATAACTCAAAGACAAATACCTGTTAAAATCTCATGGTGGAAAAATACTTAATAAATAAGAAAGTTTCAAGACATTTGCCCAGTAATGCCAATCTACATAAATTTTAAAAAAACAAATACTTCTGAGTGAAGATATTTATAAAATTTTAGAAGAATATAATTAAAATAATGTAAATGCCTAATAATGAAGAAATGGCTAAATATATAGTACATTAATATGGTAGAATTGCATCAAATGTTATGTAACCATTAAAATGTATTTTGAAAAATGTTGAGTGAACAAAAGTATCTTTCTCATAAAATTATAAATGAATTAATAAGAATTAAATCCAATTATTCTGTATGCTCTCCATTTTTTGCAAACAAAATAATACAAGTATGTTTGGAAAAATATTGATATAGCTATATAAATAACTACTTTTTTGTCTTTATTTTATTCTGCAGTAAACATTTATTATTAATATACTCCTAATATGAAGTAACAGTTATATTTTAAATTTAAAATAAACAATAAAACTTTACCAGTTTCAAATCCCCTTCATATCTGTGGGTTTCACATCCATCTATTTAGCCAACCACAGATAAAAAACATTTTTTAAAAATTGTGTTCATACTTAATATGTACAGACTTTATTCCCTTACTTAAACAATACATGATAACAAATATTTACATAACATTTTCCTTTTACTAGGTATTACAAATAGTCTAGGGATGATTTAAAGTGCACAGAAGTATGTGCATAGGTTATATGTAAATGTTACAGGGTTTCAGTGACTCTGGGAGCTTCTGGAACTGATTCCTACAGATACTGAGGGATGACTGTACTACAATCCTATCCACCTCTATCTAGTGCATTAGAATGATTCTCTCTGGTAACACCCTGAGTGCAATCTACCTTATAATCTTTTAATGTTAATGTTTTACTTCCATTAAATTATAAGCTCATTATACTACTAGATATGTCATCTGAAGTTATGTTAATTTAAACATTTCTTTACAAAGTCTCAACATTCTATAGTAAGATTGGACAAGTCTGGCAGGACTATTTTACTACACACCTAATATTTTACTCTGTATTACAGCAGACAGCAATTTGTACCCTTCCCTCAGTCTTAGAATCTCTGGACAAAAGTAACTTATGAGCTAAATCCCATGAGCTCTAGATCAGTCTCCAACTACTGATACTCATTGAGCACCTGGATACTGACATTTACTCTCAATCATGAAGAGTCATTAATGAAAAATAAATATAGAAATGTCTTCAAATGTTCAACAAAGTTGAAATACGTGTAAGATTTAACAGATAGTTCATATCCTTAATAGACTATTGCTTTGCTATAGGAGGAGCAATAATCCTAGAACACAAAGTATTTATGATATGAAATGTAATATATGTTGGGATATTAAAATCAAGACAGCAATATTAGTAGAGAAGATAGATCAAAATAAAAATCAATGACATAGCACATAGGTACTAAATATAAAAATATGCCTAATTTAGGTTATTTAAAAAATAATGTACTTTCAAATAAGAAAGAGTGAAGTATGATAACATGAAAATATACACTATGCTTAAGCAGTGCTCAAATCAAACATGTAAGAAGAGTCTTCAAATATTTGCTAATTCCAATATGAGAAGGCTTTCATGGAATCTAATTTGGAAAAGATTAAGAAAATTCATTATTTAAGTTTAAATAAAAAGAATATATATCTGAACCAAAATATCATAGAGCAAAGAAAGGGGGTCAGAAAAATAGAATAAACCTTACTTTAGATATTTAAGGGTTTTTTTATGAGTCACTTGAAAATTAGTATCTAGATTATTATTATTATTATTATCATTATTATTATGTAGCTTCAAAGTTTTCCCCACAAACTATTGGGTTGTCATTGTTTACTTAAGAGTCTTAGGCAAACATAAATTTTCAAAGATCCAGTTTCTTCTTCTATGATAATCTTCCTCAGCCTTGATACATTGAGATCTGGCCTGGACATTTCTTTGCTCCCAGACGTTGTCCCATTTTTTGTTTATCTGCGTCTCGGGTCTTTACCCACTAGATGCCACTGTCTCCTACCCCATCGTCGTGACAACCAAAAATGTCCAGGTTTACCTCGGGGGACAAAATCATCCCTGTGGAAAACTGCTAGCTGAATATATATATATATATATATATATATATATATATATATATATATATATTTTTTTTTTTTTTTTTTTTTTTTTTTTTTTGGGACAGAGTCTCGCTCTGTCTCCCAGGCTGGAGTGCGGTGGCGCGATCTCGGCTCACTGCAAGCTCCGCCTCCCGGGTTCACATCATTCTCCGGCCTCAGCCTCCCGAGTAGCTGGGACTACAGGCGCGTGCCAACATGCCCGGCTAATTTTTTGTATTTTTAGTAGAGACGGGGTTTCACCGTGTTAGCCAGGAAGTTGCTAATATTAATAGTACCTATACCATAGATTTATTGCAAAAAATAAACAAGGTTAAACTATTACGTGGGTCATGGGGTTGTTGTGAAAATTAATTGTAACAAAGTTCCTAACAAATAGTAAATGATCAAGAAACGTTCGTTATTATTATTTGACTTCAGCCCTTTTTTATGCCATAAAACAGTAATACCCAAGTTCTCTTCCACTTCTTAAATTATATGATTATTTCAGGTTATATCTAATATATCTAATCAGATTATATCTAATTCGTTATAAAATCAGTTGAAACTTTTTCAGCGAAGATCACTGAAGTAAAATAAATACAGATCGTAATTTTTAAATTGTCCTGTAGTCACAAATAGGAAAATGAAAATAGATGTATTTTATATGTAAGATAAAAGTACCTTATGGGAAAGGAAGAATATGCATATGTATTATTTACAATTTTTATAATATTTATTATAATTAAACGCTGCATGAAAGCTATTAATAGTACTTATTTTTACACAGAGTAAGAAACTTTGAGACACTTTTCCCTTTTGCGTTCTATTACTTTTTATTACATATACATATATAAACATAACTTAAAACTTTCTCATGGGGGCTTGCCAGAGCTTCTGTTTAACCTCAGTCATGAAGAGCTCTCTTAATTCTGCCAATTCACGAGAACAAAAGACTTGCTTGTGCTGAAAGCCATTACAAATTGGAGACATGGGTTGATGCAGTATTCCCAAGTGGGGTGTTTACATAGTGCCCAAAATCCAGAGAACCATAACCAACACTGCGATGCTTTTATATGTCAGCTGGTACAAAATGCAATAATTTACCATCTTGTCCTCTACATGGAAGGTATCCTGAATTACTGAGGGCAACCGCAAACCTAAAATATTTACCAGTGAAAGGCCAGTCTCAAGACTGTAGGTTTTATGTTTCAGATTATGGTTTATTGTTCACATTCCTGTACAAGAGTATCAGAAAATGACATTTCTTGCTCACTAGGGCTGATAAATCTGATATCATCAATATAGTGATCAATATTTTGGTCTTTGTAATTTTAAGACTATTAAGGTTACTTCAGGTCATATTATAACAAAACACAATCATAGCCCTGGGCAAGACAGCAAATATGTTCTGTGGTCTACCCTGGTGAATGAAAATACCTTTTATCTGTTTTCATGAAGGGGATAGAAAGTGATATTTGTCAGATCATAGATGCAAAACCAAGAGTAGAAGCTGGGTTGAGCTGTTAAAATACAGATACTACATAATATCAATACACAGCAGATGCATTTGGAATTATCAGTTGCTGACATTTACATGATTCCCCCATCATCCTCCAGATTCAAAATTTTGCATGGGTCATTCCAGTACATTAAATGGGGATGTGCTAGGGACTTCGACACCTGCACCCCTTTTATCTTTGAGAATGCTATTATTACTGCCATCTTATTCGTTGCTGATTTTCTGTTTTCATGAGAGAATGTGATGGTGAATTTTATGTTAACCATTTATGTTTTATTTTACCATTTCCTATTCCATTTTATGTTTTATTACTTTTATTTTTTTACTGGCTTATGGGGTACCCAGAAAACTGTGAGACTGATTTTGGAGGAACTTGGCATTTGAATCAGTAAACTGAGTAAAGATGACCTGCCCTTAGCAGTGTGGGCAAGCATCACGCAAGCTTTGAAGGCCAGAATACAACAAAACGGCAGAGGAAAGGCACATTTGCTTCCTCTTCTATAACAGCAATATCCATCTTCTCTTCCCCTGAGGAGCTCCAGTTTTTGAGCGTTTGGATGCCAGGACTTACACCATTGACTCTTCTGGTTCTTAGTCTTCAGACTCATTGAATTACATCACTGGCTTTCCTGGTTCTCCAGCTTGCAGATGGCATAGCATGGGACTTTTTGTCTTCCATAATTGTGTGAGCCAATTTCCACAATAAATTTTCTTTATTTATCTCTTTTTGTCTCTCTCTCTCTCTCTGTCTCTATCCTTCTGTCTCTCTGTGTGTTTGTGTGTGTGTGTGTGTGTGTGTGTGTGTGTGTGTGTGTGTGTCCTATTGATTCTGTTTCTATGAAAAGCGCTGCCTAATACCGGAACTTTTGCTTGGTCTTCCCTACCATAATTGATCTTATTCTACATTTCAACAAACCAATGCAATTTCTGTAAGTTGCTGTGTACATCCATTTCAATTATGTCCTCGATGACCAGGGCAATGAACACAGGGTAGTTTAACAAACCCATTAGACTAATGTGAGAGAAAGGCGGACCAGAAAGCCATTTATCAGCTGATCCCTGAAAATTCCAATTATAATAGGTATCTTAATGGCATTTTTGTGTACCCTGGTATCAGTGTCATCTAAGCCCTGGTATTTAAAAGTTCTTGAAAGATCTGGTGAAACTATCCCTAATTATAATAGTTTTAGAACATCTTTGGAGGTGGTTTTGGAAAGTAATTATTACATCATTTAGGCAAAGGTATGGATGTAAATGTGCCATGCAAATACTAACCCTACATGGTGTGCCCATATTAATATTAGATAAAGTGGTCTTCAAAACAGGAGTACTGCCAAAGATAAAGGTGTCAGGTCATAATCAAAAAAGGCCAGTTCATAAAATTAACAATCTTAAATGGATGAACCTAATGAAACTTCAAAATGTGAAACAGACATCAACAGAGTAAAGGTGATGATAATCAGATCTACTTTTCAAATGTCTGTGGAACATTAATCAAGATAGATCAAGTACTGGACCATCAAATAATTCTCACTAAATATAAAAGAAATTAAATCATAGACAGTTTGTGCTCTGAGCAAAA
The DNA here is from genome assembly GCF_000001405.40 of Homo sapiens. Lineage (NCBI taxonomy): Eukaryota > Metazoa > Chordata > Mammalia > Primates > Hominidae > Homo > Homo sapiens. The sequence goes on from NT_187539.1 coordinate 145,269, forward strand.
CAGGACTAAATTAAAAATCAATAACAAAAATATGTTCAGAAAAACCTTAATATTTGGCAACTGAGCAAATAACTTTTAAATAACAATGGATATAGAAATAATTATCAGATCTGTATTTAAATTTTTTAATTGTGTTAAAATTTTAACAATTTTAAGTACATAATTCATAGCATTAAGTACATTCCCAGTGTTGTACAACCAGCATCTCCATTTCCATCACAAAAAGAAATAAAGTACCCTTAAACAGTAACTCACCATTACTTCCTCTCCCCAGTCTCTGGTAAACACTAATCTTCATTCTGTCTTCACAGATTTGCCTGTTCTAGATATTTCATATCAGCAGAATCATACAACATTTGTCATTTCATGTCTGGTTTACTTCACTCAGCATCATGTTTCCAAGTTTCACCCATGTTGCATGTATCAGAACTTCATCCCCTTTAATGGCTGAATAATATTCTATTATTTATGTATTATATTTTGTGTATCCATTCGTTGATGGACAAGGGTTGTCTCTGGCTATGGCGAATAATGCTGCAATTAACTTTGGTGTAAAAATATCTGTTCAAGACCCTGCTGTCAACTTTTTTGTGTATCATACCTAGGAGTGGAATTTCTGGTTCTCTGTGTGATTCTGTGAGGAAGTACCAAATTGTTTTTCACAGCAAGTGCATCATTTTCTATTCCTAGCAGCCAGTTCATGAGGGCTCCAATTTCTCCACCTCCTTAGCAACATTTATTTTCTGTGTCGTTGTTATGAAAGCCATACTAGTGGAAGCAAAGTGGCATCTCATTTTGGTTTGGTTTTCCATTTTATCAATGAATAATGGTGTTGAGCATCTTTTCTTGTTCTTATTAGACATTTGTTTATCTTCTTTGGAGAAACGTCTATTCAGGTCCTTTGCCTATTTTTTAATTGGGATGTTAGAAATTCTGTTGTTGAGTTTTGAGATATTAAGCTTTTATCAGATACACATTTTTCTTTTATCAGATACATATTTTCTCACATACTATGGGTTGTCTTTTCATTTCCTTGATAGTGTCCTTTGATGCATGAAAGTTTTTGATTAAATCTAACTTATGTATTTTTTCTTTTGTTATCTGTGCTTTTCTGTCATATTTCAAAAAACACTTAAGACTCAAAGGTCATGAAGGTTTCCTGTGTGTTTTCGTCCAAGAGTTACACATTTTAGTCCTTATATTTAAGTCTTCTGTTAATTTAGAGTTAATTTTTGTATATAGTGCAAGGCAAGGGTCTAACTTCTCTCCTGTGCACTGATACCCAGCTGTTGAACAGACTGTTCATTCCTCCATTGACTGGTCTTGGCCCCCTTGTTGAACAGTCGTCGACCATATATGTGAAGACTAATTTCTAGGATCTCAATTCTATTCTATTGGTCTAAATGTCAATTGGTCTTATGCCAGTAAAACACTCTCTTGATTACTGTAGATTTGTAGCACGTTGTGAATCTGGAAAATGTGAGTTTTCCAATGTTCTTTTTCAAGATCGTTTCATCTATGTCAGATCCTTTGAGTTTTTGTATGAATTTTAGAATGAGTTTCTCTGTTTCTGCAAAAAATGTCTTTGGGGTTTTGATGGTATTGCATTGAATCTATAGATTACTATAGATGGTATTGACATATTAACAATATTGTCTTACAATCCATGAACACAGAATATCTTTCCAGTTATTTCAACTCTCTTTAGTTTCTTTCAGCAAAGTTTTGTGTATACCACCATAGTTAGATTGATGCCTGAATATCTTATTTCTGGATGCTATTATAAATGGGATTTTAAAAATGTTTTGATAGTTCATTACAACTATATAGAAATAAAACTAATTTGCATATGTTTGTCTTGCATCCTGCCTATTTTATTAGTTCTAATGGGTTTTGTGTTTTCTTTGGAGATTCATAGATATATGATAATGTGTAGATATAATTTTACTTCTTTTTTTATTTCTAATTTAGATGCCTTTTATTTCTTTGTCTTGCCTAATTTCTCTGGCTAGAACTGCCAGTGCTATGTTGAATAGAAGGGGCAAAGTCACCATCCTTGCCTTGTTCTAGATGTTAGGGAAACAGCTTTCAGTGTTTCATCATTGAGCATGATATTAACTGTCAGTTTTTTATATATCCTAGTGTCATATTGCAGAAGTTCCTTTCTATGCCTAGTTTATTGAGTATTTTTATCATAAACGGGTGTTGTATTTCATCAATGTTTTTTCTGCATCAACTGAAATAATCATGTGCTTATTCATTTTACTATTATAGTATATTACACTGATTTTTTTTTTTTTTTTTTTTTTTTTTTTTTGAGACGGAGTTTCGCTCTTGTTGCCCAGACTGGAGTGCAATGGCGCGATCTCGGCTTTGGTATCAGGATAATGCTGTTATCAAAAAGTGAATTAGCAAGTATTCCTTCTTCACACATTTTGTCGGAAAAGTTTGGGAAGAAATGGTGTTAATTCTTCAAATGTTAGGTAGACTCACCAGTTAATGAAGCTATTTGGTCATAAATCTTTCTTTGTTATATCGCTTTCGATTACTAATTCAATCTCCTTGTCTATTCAGATTTTCTCTTTCTTCTTGAGCCATTTTGGTAGTTTGTGTCTTTCTAGCAATTCATCCATTTCATCCAGGGCACCTAATTTGTTGTTATACAGTTGTTCACAGTATAGTCCTATAATCCTTTTTTATTTCTGTAAAGTTGGTAGTAATGGTGCCACTTTCATTTATGATTTTAATACTGAGTCTTCCATCTTTTGCTCAGTAAATATAGTGAAAGGTTTGATCTTTCAAAGAATCAACTTCTAGCTATGTTTATTTCTTCCACTGCTTTTCAACCTTCTATTTTATTTATTTATGCTCTAATCTTTATTATTTCTTTCGTTCTTCCAGCTTTGGATTTAGTCTTTTTTTGTTTTTTCTACTGCCCGTAGGTATAGAGTGAAGTTACTGATTTGAGATTTTTTCTTAAATGTAGTTGTTTATAGCCATACATTTTCCTTTGAATTCTACTTTCACTGTATGCAATAAGTTTTGGTATGTTTTGTTTTTATTTTAATTTGTCTCAAGATGTTTTATAATTTTGCTTGTGATTTATTCCTTCACTCACTGTTAGTTTAAGAGTGTATTCTGTAATTCCCACATATTTGTGAATTTTCCAGTTTTCATTTTTTATGTATCTGTTGTTTCTTCCATTGTGATTGTAAATTATATTTTGTATTATTTCAAGGTTTTAAAAATGATTAGGACATATTTTGTGGACGAAGATATGGCCTATCCTAGAGAAAGTTCCATATCCGCTTGAAAAGAATGTGTATTCTGCTGTTGTTGGGTGGACTGTTCTCCATATGTGTATTAGCTCTAAATGGCTTATACTGTTGTTCAGGTCTTCCATTTCTCATCAAGCTTCTATCTGGTTTTTCTATCCATTAATTTTTTAATTTATTTTATTATTATTATACTTTAAGTTTTAGGGTACATGTGCACAATGTGCAGGTTAGTTACATATGTATACATGTGTCATGCTGGTGTGCTGCACCCATTAACTCGTCATTTAGCATTAGGTATATCTCCTAATGCTATCCCTCCCCCCTCCCCCCACCCCACCACAGTCTCCAGAGTGTGATATTCCCCTTCCTGTGTCCATGTGTTCTCATTGTTCAATTCCCACCTATGAGTGAGAATATGTGGTGTTTGGTTTTTTGTTCTTGCAATAGTTTACTGAGAATGATGATTTCCAATTTCATCCATGTCCTACAAAGGACATGAACTCATCATTTTTTATGGCTGCATAGCATTCCATGGTGTATATGTGCCACATTTTCTTAATCCAGTCTATCATCGTTGGACATTTGGGTTGCTTCCAAGTCTTTGCTATTGTGAATAGTGCTGCAATAAACATACGTGTGCATGTGTCTTTATAGCAGCATGATTTATAGTCCTTTGGGTATATACCCAGTAATGGGATGGCTGGGTCAAATGGTATTTCTAGTTCTAGATCCCTGAGGAATCGCCACACTGACTTCCACAAGGGTTGAACTAGTTTACAGTCCCACCAACAGTGTAAAAGTGTTCCTATTACTCCACATCCTCTCCAGCACCTGTTGTTTCCTGACTTTTTAATGATCGCCATTCTAACTGGTGTGAGATGGTATCTCATTGTGGTTTTGATTTGCATTTCTCTGATGGCCAGTGATGGTAAGCATGTTTTCATGTGTTTTTTGGCTGCATAAATGTCTTCTTTTGAGAAGTGTCTGTTCATGTCCTTCGCCCACTTTTTGATGGGGTTGTTTTTTTTTTCTTGTAAATTTGTTTGAGTTCATTGTAGATTCTGAATATTAGCCCTTTGTCCGATGAGTAGGTTGCGAAAATTTTCTTCCATTTTGTAGGTTGCCTGTTCACTCTGATGGTAGTTTCTTTTGCTGTGCAGAAGCTCTTTAGTTTAATTAATCCCATTTGTCAATTTTGGCTTTTGTTGCCATTGCTTTTGGTGTTTTAGACATGAAGTCCTTGCCCATAAATGAGGTATTGAAGTGTCCAACTACTACTATAAAACTGCGGGGTTATCCTTTTGATCTTGTTAATTTTTTCAGCTTTACTGAGGTTTAATAGAGAAATAAAAATTGCACATATTCAAGGTGGACAGTGTGATATGTTTATATATGCACATTCTGAAATGATTACCAAAATGAAGTCAATTAACATGTTAATTACCTCACATAATAGTTACCTTTTCGTGTGCATGCATGGGATAAGAAAACTTAACTCCATCCCCAGTGACTGCAGAGTGGCCATTCCAGCTGCTCCAGGCTCCGGCAGAGGAAGAGCGGGGCGGGTGGCACCACCAGGGGGGCCCACAGGCCTGGCGCGCACGCGTTCTGGAGCCCACCCAGACCATGCTCCGCCGCCTGGGCGCCCAAGCTGCAGTCGCCCTCTGTGTGCAGGCAACAACTGCCTGGTAACTCCCGAGCCTGCTCGCGCTCCCAGCATCGCAGAACCAGGGCCAGGTGTCCCGAGGGCTGCGGCCAAGCCAGGCATTCTGCCCGGCGGCGGCTGCACAGGGGCGAGAACTGAGAACCAGCCGCTCAACCCCATCGGGGTGAATGCCGAGTGCCCATGCCAGCGGCCTCGAACTCCCTGCGGTGGAGGAGTGGGGCGGGAGGTACGTCCTGGGGACCCTCAGTTGGGCGCGCTGGCGATCCCGGGGCCGCCCAGGCCATGCCCCTCCAGCCCGCCTGGGCACCCAAGCTGCAGCCGCCTTCTGTGTGCAGGCAGCAGCCTCCAGGCAACCCCCGAGCCCGCCCGCACTCCCAACATCTCAGAACCGGAGCCAGATGTACCAGTGGCTGCGGCCGAGCCAGGCAGTCGGCCCTGGGGCGGCTGCACAGGGGCGGGAACCCGCCCTCAGCCCCATTCCCGGTGGCTGCAGAGGGCCCCTGGCTAGCGGTCCGGAGCTCCGGCAGAGGAGGAGCCGAGCGGGGGCAGGGCCTGGCAGGCTCTCAGGCCAGGTGCACTCGCGATCCAGAGGCCGCCCAGGCCATGCTCCGCCGCCTGAGGGCCCAAGCTCCAGGCGCCCTCTGCCTGCTCGCAGCAGCCGCCTGGCAGCTCCCAAGCTCGCTGGAGCTCCCAGCCTCGCAGAACCGGAGCCAGATGCCGCGGCTGCAGCCAAGCCAGGCGGTCTGCCCGGCGGCGGCTGCACCGGGGCGGGAACTGCCCCACAGCCCCATCCCTGGTGGCTGCGGAGGGCCCCTGCCAGCGGCCCCGATCTCTCTTCGGAGGAGGAGCGGGGCGGGGGTCACGGCCAGGCGGGCCCTCAGGCCGGGCGGGTTGCGCGCCTGCGACTACGGGACGTCCCGGGCGAGCCCAGGAGAACCCGCAAGCCAGCGGCGCCTGCGCCCGAGCCGCAGCCGCCCCCTGCCGGCAGCGCGGGCTTGGGAGCGGCTTCCGGAGTCCGCGCGGGCGCTGAGCTGCAGGCGCGCGCCTAACGGCTTCGCGGGCTGAGAGGTCAGAGGCTGCGAGTGTCGCTGCTGAAGGCTGTGGTGGACCCGGCCGGGTCGCGGATTCTGAGCTACATCTCGGGTTTGGGGTTAGGGTTAGTGGAAAGGCCACGAGGAGCCGCGGGGGCTCAGGAGCCGGTGGTGGGCGTCTGAGGAGAAGTCGCCCCATGAGGAAGCTCTTCAGCTTCGGGAGACGCCCGGGCCGGGCGGTCCTGGGCTCCATCGACCACGAGTACCCGGGTCCCGCGTACCACACCAGGGACGCGGAACTGCGGAAGATCCACAGGGCGGCCCTCAAGGGCGACGCCGCGGAGGTGGAGCGCCGCCTGGCGCGCAGGTGCCGGGACGTGGATGCCCAGGACAGGTAGCGGGGGCTCAGCCGGGGTGGGAGGGGGTCCCCAGGCCCGGCTTCCCCGCAGCCCCGCAGCCCCTGGGACGGGGGCCTTGGAGGGCGCTGGGCACCCTCAGAGCGGCGGAGCCAAACGGAGCCTCAGCTGCGTTCCATCGCTGGCAATTCCCCGCCTGGAGCACTTGGTGGAGAAGTTGAGTGATTCAACTCACAAAGTTAAGCATATACTCGTTTAAAACGTGGGGTCATGGAGGTGCTTAATGAGAACTCATTCCCATGTCAAAAATACCATGAGTCATGTTCAGTAGGCGGAAAGTTCTCAGATAAAAGCCTGTGTCGGTTTTACATCCGAATCCACCCAGGTAGACAGGTTCTTTACTGGAGCTTCTTAGAGGGACACTTGGAAGTGGGAGGCGGGTTCCTTGAATGGGAAGACTCGGTTTTCTCAAAACATGAGCTCTTTCCATGTTTATCAGTTTTACATAAACCGAATGAAAATATCAAGGATTTATCATTTTTGCACGACATCTGCTGTCTTAATATTGTGATGACATTTAAAAATTTTTATAATGGAGTGAAAAAAAGACTTGCTCCTCTAGATATCAAAATGTGCTATTAATTCCCACAATTATTTACTATCAGCTGAAAAGACATAAATACATGGAACAGAATGGAAACCCAGAAACACTGAAATATATGTAAGATATAGATGTAAGGACTGATAATGGTAACATTTCAGATGAGTAGGAAGGGTTGAGTTGTTAATAAAATGCCTGCTCTTTGAAGAAAACTAATGAAATTTTATGTCACAAAAATGAGTTCCTGATGGAATACAGATTGAATTTTTTACATATGCAAAATGAGAAAAGTACCAGAAGAAAACACAAATGCTTATTTATACAGGTACATTTTACATTGCCAAAGGCCTTCCTAAGAATGACCTCACAAGCAGGCATTCTGAAGGTTGATTTAGCAAACTAAAAATTAAAACCCCCAGGCCAGGCGCAGTAGCTCACGCCTGTAATCCCAGCACTTTGAGAGGCTGAGGTGGGCGGATCATGAGGTCAGGAGATCGAGACCATCCTGGCTAACACAGTGAAACCCCATCTCTACTAAAAATACAAAAAATGAACCTGGCATGGTGGCACGCGCCTGTAGTCCCAGCTAGTCGGGAGGCTGAGGCAGGAGAATCACTTGAACCTGGGAGGTGGAGGTTGCAGTGAGCCGAGATCGCGCCACTGCACTTCAGCCTGGGTGACAGAGCGAGACTCTGTCTCAAAAAAAAAAAAAAAAATTAAAACCCCCCTGTGTATAAGAAAAAAATTAACAAACGATAACATACTTGAAAAATATTTACTATGTATATGTTTTTACTAATATATATATAAATAGATATTCAGATGAAAAGTGTATCTTCATCCTACAGGGAATTTACTTTTTATTATATATATTATGATATATAACTGATTATACATATAAAAAATTGTATATAATAGTGACATAATGTTATATATATCAGTTATTTATATACAGATAAAAAGCACATCTTTATTTTATAGGGAATTCTTTCAAATCAAATCCACAAGAAAAGAACTCTAAAAGTGAGCAACGTACTTTTCTGCAGATCCACAAGTTACTTATGTACATAGGAAAAAGTCCTTAGTGTTTCTCGTAAAAGAATTTAAGTTAAAAGAGGAATGAGACTCTTTTCTATCCACAATGTTTGTGAGAATAAACAGCAGTGGTACTTACACTGCTGCCTAAAGTTTAAGTTGCTGATGACTTTTCAAATAGATAATTTGGTGGTAATTACCACATTTTAAAAATGTATATGCCATTTACCTATCAATTCCATTGTATTAAAATACCTTTAGAAAATAGAGATACGTGTACTTTGTTTTTCTCAGCATTTATGTTAAAAAGAACCCTCAGAATGTGTCCTATAAATAAGTTTCAGTTGCATCCATAGGATGGAATAATATGTGACCATTGAAAGTGACAATAGATATAGAAGTATGGGAGGTTCCCTTGATGCCAGGAGTTTGAGACCAGCCTGGGCAACAAAGCAAGATTCCTTCTACAGGTTTTTTTTATAATTAGCTGAGCATGCTGGTGTACTCTTGTGGTCCCAGCTACTCAGGAGGCTGAGGCAGGAGGATCACTTGAGCCTAGGAGTTCCAGGCTGCAGTGAGGAAATATATGAAATATATGTAATATACCATTAATATATGAAATATATGTAATACACCATTAATATATGAAATATATGTAATACACCATTAATATATGAAATATATGTAATACACCATTAATATATGAAGTATATGTAATACACCATTAATATATGAAGTATATGTAATACACCATTAACATATGAAATATATGTAATACACCATTAATATATGAAATATATGTAATACACCATTAATATATGAAGTATATGTAATACACCATTAATATATGAAATATATGTAATACACCATTAATATATGAAATATATGTAATACACCATTAATATATGAAATATATGTAATACACCATTAATATATGAAATATATGTAATACACCATTACACTCCAGCCTGGGCAACAGAGCAAGACCCTGTCTCAAAAAAAAAAAAACCAACAATCTAACAATTATTGAGTTGTTGCTTGTTCTAGAAATGGTTCTAAATACTTTACATAGATTCCCATTTAAGCATCACAATGGTGTCCTGTGAACTAGCTGCTATTGTCATCTTTATTTTATTAATGAGGAAAATGAGGCACAGAAAGGCTAAGCAATACCTGGTACGTGGCTGAGTTCAAAGTAGAACTCAAGCCCCAGCTGAACTGAATCCAAACACCAAGCTCATTCTGTCCAAATAGGCTGCTGTTTCATTAAGGGAGTGAGCAGTAAGAGCTAATAAATGTACTTTCTTCAAAAGAAAATTATTTGTTTTGAAGGCAGAGGAATGCTCTTCAATGTTTACAATGACATGAACCATTGTAGGTTTTGAGATACTGCACTACAATTTCCTGAAAACCCCTCTCACTCTCCTAGGACTGTTCTACATTTGGCCTGTGCCCACGGCCGTGTGCAAGTGGTCACTCTCTTGCTGAGCAGAAAATGTCAGATCGACATCTGTGACAGACTAAACAGGACGCCTTTAATGAAGGTATACAGCAGCCAACTCTCTCAGCACGAAAAAGATTTCACTAAATACATAGAATTAAAATGAATGTATCTCATTTAAATATAACTAGTTGGTGAAACCTGTGGAATATGTATTTTGAATTCTTAGAATTTATAGTCTAAGTTTTCATCTAACACTGACAGGCTGTATATTGCCAGGAAGAGACGTGTTCCATTATTCTGCTGGAACATGGCACCAGTCCAAACATTAAGGACGTCTACAGCAACACTGCTCTTCATGATGGTAAACATTGAGGATGTCTACGGCAACACTGCTCTTCATGATGCTGTCTATGATAAGGGGACTTCACTGGCAGGAAGCCTGCTTTCCCACCATGCAAATACTGAAGCACTAAACAAGGTATAGATCAATCAACTTTCTTTTCAAAATATTTGTTTTAACATTGACATAGGTAAGAGTCAATTTTTCATATTTGGATGATCAGGCATTCCTGAATGAAAATATTTTGAAATAGCTTAATTGTCTCAGGTTTTACTTTAAATATTGATACTTTTAAAGAAGCATTAGAGGGCACAGCTTGTTTAGTGCACTTATGGGAAGTATTTGTGAATTTGTTAAGGTAAAACTTCTTCAAGTATTTGTTTCCTACCCCAGGTGTATTTTTTTTTCTAATTACGTAAAACACACACACACACACACACACACACACACACACACACACACACACACGCAGACACAGGAAAAGAATTTACCCTGGAAATAGGCTTTATCTTAAAACTCAAAACAAAACTGAAGCAACTTGCAATAAATGGAAATCTTGCTGCTGCTGACAGTTTTCTCAAAAAAAAAAAAAAACTGATGTGCCTTTCAGTGGCAAAGTTTAAGAGGGAAAAATGGGGAAGGAAAAGGAGAGCAATCAAAAACATGTAGGTCACTTGGAAATTAGGTAATGAGGAAAAATGCTAATAAGAGGTTTTGTTTTTTAGTTTGTTGTTTTTCCAGTTTATGTATTGAGACAAAGTGCTCTTCAGCTTTGGGGTAATTATTTTTGGTTTGGTAAACAAAGTGATTGAAACTTGCTTAAAGATTAATTTTTAGAGGACTCTGAGGAAACCAGATTGGCTGTGAATAGCTGGTGATGCAGTGAGAAACACTTCAGCAAATGATCGAACGAATTAGTGACTGACTTATTACCCATCCTGGCAAAAACAGCCACTTAGCCAAGAGTCCAAACTCTCCTCTCAAATCTAGAATGTCTTGGTGGGAAGGTAGGAGATAAGGAGCTTATAAATAGCAAAATCAAGTGGGATTTCGAGTTTACTTGTCCCTGTTCTACCCATAGCCAGGAAAATTAACTGGAGTGTTAATAAATAACTCTATCTCATACTCTTTTCTCTTTTTGGCCACATCCCAAGCTGATAAAGGATATTGGTGGTGTGGGTGAGTGATGAAAGTGAAGTGATTGTAGTAATTCTCAGCAGTAGTAATTCTCTGCAGTAATTCTCAGCTAGAATTGTGCATTACAGTGACCTGGGGGAATTTTGTTAAAAGTGTACAAATGTAGGCTTTCCCCTGAAGATTTTGATGTAACTGAGCTAATAAGGTCTGAACAGGTATGGTTAAAAATATTTTCTTGAAGCCGCACACAGTGGTTTGTTTCTGTAGTCCCAGCTACTCAGGAGGCTGAGGTGGGAGGATTGTTTGAGCCTAGGAGTTTGAGTCCAGCCTGAGAAACATAGTAAGACTCTTGTCTCTTACAACAACAACAGAAAAAAAAAACACCTCAGGGTTTGAATACACTCCTGATTGAGAACCACAGAGTAGGTAAGTGCAGTATATAAATTCCCGTATCTCAAAAACATAAGAAATCTCTAAAAGAGTTGGCATTTGATAGGTGCTACTTTCTTCAAAGTTCTCCTTTCCAATAATGTTAGCCTGACTTATCTTTCTCTACATTTGTGACTGGAAAGTAAAAGGAAATATTGCTGGCAATATATCTCAGCTTACAGAAACACACCTTTTCCTTCCCACCAGGAATCATTCACTGCCATTCAGAGAGCCTTTAGCAATTTGCTTGTGGGTAATCTTTCAATAGGTAAAGCCTGACCCTTTCACAATTTCATGTTCCTTTGTCACCATTCAAGTGATTATGTGTCAACAAATGTTCATTACAAGTGAAATTTTCTCAATTAGATTAGTAGCAAATCCTGAACCGTTTTTTTTTTTTCAGTTGAAATTGTATTATGGACTATGTCAGTATGTCTGTTAAGTTTATAGAGCTTTGGCACAATCAGGATGTCAGTTTTAAACACTGAAATCCATGAAGTCGGTGAGAATACTATAGGAATTCTTTTAATAAGTTAGTTTCGGCAGTCTTATGATCTAATTATCTATTTGGTTAACAATCTGGGAAAATAATATACAAACAGATTTCAAATGAATAAATTTTGGGAAAATTCTTCAGGTGGGTATTATGAGTCTTAACAGCAATTTTTATTATATATATATCAGGGGCTGATTTTTATATAAAACACATGATACTAGAGACAGAAAAAGTTTCACATGCAAATACTTGGTTTATACAAAATCATTTAGTACACATTCATGGAAACTATAAATACACAAGGGCTATAGTCTAACTGTGGCACATAGATTTGTTCATTTGCCTCTTTAAGTTGAGTTAGCATGTGAAATTTAGTAGACTCATGCAGAAATCTGGACCTCAGGCCTGTCTTAAGAATCAAATCTGGTGTCCCCGGAACCGCATCACTGCTTGGTCTGCTGTGCAGAGGTTGCCCTGTGTAGGAGGCACAGATTCTCCAGTTGGCTTCTGTGCCCACCTGAGTACTTCACTTACTTAGGTCATCTCCTCATCCTTATAAGTATTTGAGTTTACAACTCCTGTTTTATAGTATATTTTCATAAAGATTTCAAGATTTTCAAGACAGTGTATATTGGTTTATAATATATAGTCTATAGTTTATAAATCCCTCAATTATGGGGTTCAAGTTTAGAATTCAAAAGTTTTTTTTAGCTCTTTTTTATATGTATACCACAAGTAGTCATCTGCTCATAAGAATGCCTGGAAGCCTTTTTAGGTTATTCCTGGTGAGAGTTGGCTAGTTTATGAATATTGCAAACATTATGTCATGCTTCTCAACAATGTCCCTTAAAAATGCAAGTGACTTATTGGCTTTTATTATGCTAGAAATAAGCCATATACATCAATATTAAAACTTTTATTGATAAGCCATTGTAATTTTATTTCTGATTTACATTTTGCCTAAAGTAAAAAAAAAATGTTAAATAGCAATTTGAATGGAAACCAATACAAATGGATTTAAAAAGTAAAGTTGCATTAGCATCCCAGGGTTATCATTATAATTGAGAATAAAATTTCTTACTGAGCTTTGCTTTTTTAATATTTATTTTCAAACACTTTTAACCTGTCTCTCTTACACAGAATATACTGAGCTTTCTAACAGTTAAGATAAAAATCTATCCTCTTGTATTAGGAGAAATCCCATGGACTATTTAATAATAATGAAAATAAGTGCATTGAAGCCAGTCTCTCTTAATTCAGAGCTCATTTCCTTAGTGACCCATTCGGATCAGGAGTGCCTGACATTGACATTGGATCCTGACACCATTTACAGAAGTAAATCAAGCAAGTTTGTACCACCCAGAGGAAACCTCCACCTGAACTGGGAAGTTCTGGCAACTGTATCCCTGAAACTCTAGTTCCTAAAATGTTAACGTTTGCCACAAAAAGTATTGTCAAATTGGAATTAGGCAAAGTTGAAGGGATTTCTTGATTGTTGACCATATAATACAGTTTTGTAATACTTCTCAAATGCAGGTGATCATGGCATCTTTCTGTTGGGGTACAGTTCTTCTGGTAAAACAAATATTCCTTGGAAGATAGTTTAAGAAACACTGCTCTAAAGATAATAATTTTCATCATTAATTTATTTTAAAAACCTAAAGCATTTGCTACTATGTATTAGGTTTTAGGGTTGTAGAGAAAAAGGACACAGCCCTTGCCCTCAAGAAACTCTTGGTTTCAGTGGGAAACAGTGAAATAATTACAACATATTGTGCTAAATGCTGTGATAGAAGCAAGGATTTTCAGGACTGGTAAATAAAGTCAGTTTTGGAGATGATCAAAGTTAACGTGGGGAGGGAGAGGAGGGGTGTTTGCAAGGCAGTGTGTGGGAAAGCACAGAGGAGTGAAAAGGAAGGGACTGCTCCGCATTTACTTGCTATATTGTAAGTTTAAGTTCATAGCATCATATAGGAGATTTTTAGTTCAATTGAGAAATATGTAATTTTGTGAATTGCACATTGTTTTTGCTTTCTTACAGGAGGGAAATACACCACTTTTGCTTGCTGTAATTTGTAAGAGACAGTAAATGGTGGCATTTTTAGTGAAGAACCAGGCAAGTGCACCTGCTGTTGGTGATTAGTCCATTGTTTAGCCAGAAATCACACAGAAAGCTAGACTAGTTAGAAGTAGCAATGAGTGCAAGATTCTTTCAGGACTTTTAAAGACCTTTATCCCCAGGGATCTCAGTGTTCATTTTATTCCAAGTATAACCTTATATATAACCTTATATGTGAGATATAAATAACGTCACATTTTTACTTGTTTTTCTTTCTTTCTTTCTTTCTTTTTTTTTTAGACAAGGTCTCACTATGTTGCCCACATTCCTGAGCTCAACTGATTCTCCTGCCTCAGCCTCCCAAACTGCTAGACACCATGCCTGGCCTGACTTTTCTAATTAGTTATTGGGTCTTGAAATGTCCAGTTTAGCAGAAAGTCTTGGATTGTCCCCTGGGGCTATCTCCTATGCCTTCATCCTTTGAATTTTTCAAAAAGCTAAGGGGTTCCCTAAGTCCAAGGAAGACAATCTTGCTTTACAAGTCAGAAGATAGGGGGAAAAGGCCATTCTAAATATTCTGTTTCCATTGATTCACTTGTATTGCTGCCATTGTAACTGGTCCTGCGATCTGGTAATGACTAACCTTTGCCACCAGGATGCCTTTACTGATTCAGACCTCTCACTCTTTGTGGTGACTCACACACAGAGTTCACAGCTACAGTGATGCCTTTACTGATTCAGACCCTTCAGTCTTTGTGGTGACTCACACACAAAGCTCACAGCTACAGTGTTTTTTAGTTCATGTACATATGCTCAGCCGTTGTTCCCAGCACACTGCTCTGGCAGCGAGGCCTCCTGGCTTTACCCACACACATAGTGAGTAAATTGACCCTCCCCTAACACTAAAAACCTTATTTGTTGCCCACCTCTTAGCTAGGCTTAGCCTAGACCTTGATGGTAAGTTATCCTTTGAGACCTGTATTCATCTTTTCTCTAGCAAATGTTAGTTGGGATTGTCTTCAGCAGTCAGGGACATTCAAATAATGTGGCAGGAAGAGATCAGAGGTCCCTTTCCCTTTTGTTATCACGTCTGTACCTTGAGGCTTTTTTCTGTCCTGTGTAGCAGCTTTTGTTAGATAGCAGAAGGTTCCACATTATCCTGCAATAGAGTAGTGGGCACCAACTTGCAGTTGGCCCCTCAAGTAACATGTTTCCATAACAACGAAAATCTCTCAGGCTACTTGCATCTCTACCCCAAGTTTTTAAAATATTTAAAAATTCTACCTCACAGGAAGTCATTCAATAGAATTATCGTATATAAACTAGGTAATTTGGATTTAACAGAGCTAAGCCTCATCCATGACTCATGAGTATCCATGTATAAAACAGGGCTTTATGCTTGTTTCAGCAGCGTATATTCTAAGATTGGATCAACACAGAGCAGATAAGCATGGCTGCTGCCTAAGGATGGCACACAAATTCAGCAAGCATTCCACATTTTGCACAGTCCCCAGAAGGTCATTTGACTATTTGTTAACTAGCTCCAAGGAAACAGTGCAAGTCAGACCAAAACAGGAGACATCCAATATTGAAATTGTTGTTACTGTTATTATAAAAGTATTCACGTAAGGTGATCTGTGAAATGAGAACAGCGCTGAGTAACATATGGGATGTTACATGCAAACATGTTGTTAGTCCATGACTTGGAAATGAGGAAACGTCAACTTGCATCTCTTTCATGGAACCGAAAAACAAGACAAGCAGGTTTTGTCTTGTATGTCAGTTGGAGAGGACCAAGAAGACGCAGCCTCTAACACAGACCTGCTGGCTCTGAGTTTGAGGAGGTAGAGAAGGAATGGTAGTTGTCCAAGCCAGGTTTTGATATTTATTAGTTTTCTGCCCTTGGTGTGATTGATGAGCTCAGTAATAGGGAACAATTAGGTAATCTATTTTAATGAGATAATAATATATTTATATATAAATTTAGTTACAAGTTATGAATTAGCTAAAATGCTCTGAACTACAAGCCACAATGAATAGAACTAATAACCAAAATTAGCACTTAATAACATTTTCTGAAAACTGTGACATTCAAATATTAGAACCTATGAAAAAACACCCATCAGGTTTTGAGATTCCAAAATTGTTTCAGCAATACAGTTCAAGAATAAATTATTCCATTGCTTTACTATTTCTCTGAATATTTAAACATGTTATCTCATTACATCCTCCTAACAGCCTAGTGAAGTAAGGTAGTAAAATCCTTATTTTTTAGAAAAAGCCATGGAGCCTAAGAGAAGCAACTGGTCTGAAAACAAAATACCTATTGGTTACAAAGTGAGGACTTATTCTGAGTGCAGGACACTTTCCAGGATGTTAAGCTAACTAGAATTAATTTACTGAGCTATGCTTCTCTCAGTTTATGAGTACTTCATGTTTTTCTTCTTTAATTAGAAGCTTAGTAAGTTTATAGAGCTTAAAATTTTAAAGTGTATAGGACATTAGAGTTCTGATATTAGCTCTGATATTGTCTGAAATGCTTTAAGAATTTAACATAGTTGGTAAATATTTTTCATGTCACTATTAAAATAGTAATTTTATTTATTACATTTATTATGCATAGCATTCAACAACAAATTTTGGAACCTAAAAATAAGTACTTTAAAATCATCTTCAAAATGACAATTAAGGTAGGACTTCTTTTAGTAAATTTCTCATTTCTCTTGGTGGTCTTATTGATTTTAAAAAGTAAGATTACAGGCCAGGCATGATGGGTCATGCCTGTAATCCCAGCACTTTGGGAGGCCAAGGCAGGTGGATCACCTGAGGTCAGGAGTTTGAGACCAGCCTGGCTAACATGGCAAAACCCATCTCTACTAAAAATACAAAAATTAGCTGGGCATGGTGGCAGGCACCTGTAATCCCAGCTACTCAGGAGGCTGAGGCAGGAGAATCACTTGAACCCAGGAGGTGGAGGTTGCAGTGAGCTGAGATCACACCACTGCACTCCAGCCTGGATAAAAAAACAAGACTCTATCTCCGAAAAAAAAAAAAAGTAAGATTACATAGTTTTAATCATAAAAGAGCAGTTTAAAATATATATGTATATACATTTTTTAAATTTAATTTATTTAGTTTAGAATTCAGAGTTAAGAAGTTAGTTGTAGCTAATTCATAATCTCACAGTATTGTCTGAAAACAATGCATTTACCTACTTATGTTCCCTGAAATTCGACGTGATATTTTTGTATTAATATAAATAAGAAATTAGATTTTTAAGTTAGTATGTTGTATTTTCCTCTATAATCACATTATTACAAATTGGACTTTTGATGCAAATGGATCTTCTATTTAATTTTTATAATAAATGGTTTGTATTTAGTAAATAAATATTAATTATAGTTGATTCTTGAATAATGTGGCAGTTAGGGGCTCTGATCCCTGTGCAGTTGAAAATCTGAGTATAACTTTGACTCCTTCTAAACTTAACTAATAGCCTACCATTGACTGGAAGCCTTGCTGATAACACAAGCAGTCCATGAACGCATATTTGGTATGTGCTGCATTGTTATATACTATGTTTGTACAATAAAGTAAGCTAGAGAAATGAAGCTGTTATAAAGAAAGTCATAGAAAAGAAAAAAACGTACTTACTATTCATAAGGCAGAAGTGAGTCTTCCCAAAGGTCTTCATCTTCATCATCTTCAGGTTGATTAGGCTGAGGAAGAAGAAAAAAGGTTGGTTTTGCTGTCTCTGGGTTGCAGAGGCAGAAGAAAAATCTACATATAAGTGGGCCCCTGCAGTTCAAACTCTTGTTGTTCAAGAGTCAACTGTATTACACAGGAATTTGTGTCACTAAGAAAGTAACTATCTTTAGAACTGGGAACTCAAAAATCCCTTTCTGATACCATAAACAAATGGCAATAAGGACCATAAAACTGAGCCAGTGTGCACCCATACAAATAGGAGATTATTTTTGAAGATACCTATTGAATGCAGAAGATGGGAAAGTAATTCCTTTACAAGAAGCAGAAGTTATGTTACATATTCTTCTACAAACAAGGTCTATTTTTTTCCTCATTCTCCATAGGTTGGAACCTCATGAGATATATTCACTTCTTAGAACAAGCTGTTTTTAAAAATGTGCTGGACAATTATCATAATAATATTAATTTTGTTAGAACAAGAGACTCTGTTACCAGGCTGGGTATGGTGGCTCATGCCTGTAATCCCAGCACTTTGGGAGGCTGAGGCAGGTATATCACTTGAGGTCAGGAGTTTGAGACCAGCCTAACCAACATGGTGAAACTCCATCTCTACTAAAAATACAAAAATTAGCCAGGCATGAGGGCAGGCACCTGTAATCCCAACTACTTGGGAGGCTAAGCCAAGAGAATTGCTTGAACCCAGGAGGTGGAGATTGCAGTGAGCTAAGATTGTGCCACTGCACTCCAGCCTGGGTGACAGAGCAAGACTCAAGACTCCATCTCAAAAAAAAAAAAATGCTCTGTTACCATTAGGCAAAAGATGATCTTAATAAATATTCCATTAGCCAAACTCTAGGCTCAAAAAATTATAATAAAATTATAAAAATGGTTCACAGTACCGGGAGGCGGAGCTTGCAGTGAGCCGAGATCCCGTCACTGCACTCCAGCCTGGGCGACAGAGCGAGACTCCGTCTCAAAAAAAAAAAAAAAAAAAAAATGGTTCACAGTAACAAAAATATAACGCCTAATGCATTGTACAATCTAAACTGTATAAAGGCACCATTAATTTAGTACATATTTATCAAACTACTTCTATAAGTTAGGTTTGGCAAATTGCAGCAGACAAAGATGGAATTGAATAGTTTTTGTCTTTAAGGTGCTCATAATAGAATACAGATAACTATTTAATTTTTGTGTTTTTTAACCAGAATTTTTAAGAAAAAATATTTTAATTCATTCATACATTTTTCCACTTAAAAAATAACTATCATGTGTCTTTAGTGGACTAAGCATTTTTCCAATGTTACAAAATACATTTTAAAAATACACTTAGGAGATTGTGAATACCATTGTCATTTATTTTATTTACTACATTATGTAGTGCTTACTGTGTGTCCAATGTCATCTGGGAGCTTATTGTTATAATTTATTATGTATGCGTTATGTTCAGTATGTGCCAGGCACTTTTACATTTGTGGTGATGAATGCAAGCTTCTAAAATCTGGGTCAGATTTAGGGTAAGCATGCAGAGTGAGTGGAACTTTGCCAATAAGGAGGCAGAGGGATGATGCTTGGCAGAAGGAATATCTAACAAGTTGCATGTTTGACAGAAGCAGCAGCCATGAAGAACGAAAGTTTTAGAAAAGGAGGAGCAATTTCAAAATGTAAGACACCTGAGTGAGCTTTGTAGCGTTTGTGAGCAGTTCAAATTTACTAGTGCAAAAAAAGTGTATAGGAGTGGTTGGCAATGAGGTGGAAATAGTTTACAGTTATTATTTATTATGTTCAGTATGTGCCAGTGAAGGCAAGCTTAGCAAAGACTTTGTTGTTGTTGTTGTTTGACCTGTGTCTAGAAACAAGTTTAATAAAAGACTTTTAATAGTATAGAAATGAGTAGATCTTATCCTGTAGGCCAGGGGAAACTTCTCAGGTAGAATGCTTTTGGCTGTAAATACTAGAAGACCTAACTAACCGTGGCCAAAACCATAAGAACCAGACTTGTTTTGATTGTCCAGTGATATAATTGGGTCCCACTTGTTCCTCTTTCAGCTACAATGTTGGCAGTATCTTGTTCATTTCCCCTTTCATGGTTGGCTACTTAGCAACAGCTCCAAACATCGTGTTCTCACAAGGGCTGCTTTTCTTCACATGTGTCTATTAAATTGGGAGAAAACCCAGAAGTATGCAGGGGACTTTTTGTAATTTTTTTTTTTTTTTTTTTTTTTTTTTTTTTTTTGGAGACAGAGTCTCGCTCTGTCACCAGGCTGGAGTGCAATGGCATGATCTTGGCCCACTGCACCCTCCACCTCCGAGGTTCAAGCGATTCTCCTGGCTCAACCTCCCAAGTAGCTGGGACTACAGGTGCGTGCCACCACACCCAGCTAATTTTTGTATTTTTAGTAGAGATGGGGTTTCACCATGTTGACCAGGATGGTCTTGAGCTCTTGATGTTGTGATCTGCCCACCTCAGCCTCCCAAAGTGCTGGGATTACAGGCATGAGCCACCGTGCCTGGCCCTTTTTGTAATATTTTATTGGCTGGGTCACACCACATGCTCATTCCTAAACCAGGCACTGGGAAAGCAAATGTGATTAGCTTAGAATAATCATTTCTCTTTTAAAGCTGGGGAGGGGTATTGGGATAATAAATATCCAAATAGATTTGTGTTTCTCCAGCAAGAAACAATAAGGAACTGCTCTTGGATAGGGAGCCAGCAGTGTTTGGTCTAGAAATTCATTGGAAAATCGTGAGCCGGGGAGGCATTAGATTAGATTTGAGAATTAGGGCATTCTGTTCAGGGATTGGCATGCTTTTTCTGTAAAGGGCCAAGTAGGAAATATTTTAGACCATGTGGTCTCTCTCTGTCTCTTTTCAAGAAAGATTTAAGCAGCTGAAGGCCATGTGGTCTCTGTTGTAGCTACTCAACCCTGCCATTGTGTGTGAAAGCAGTCACAGGTAGCATGTCAGTGAGTAGGCCCAACTGTACTCTCATAAAACTTTATTGAGAAAAAACATATGGTAGGCAGGATTTGGCCTGTGGTCTGCAGTGTGCTGACCCCTTATGTAGAGGATTGATGGAGGATAGATGTCACCTGGGAGCGTGTAGTTATTATTTACTAGGTATTTATTATGTTCGTGAGATGCCATCCACCTTTAAATTTGTGGTGATGAGCACAAGCTTCTGAAACATGGATGGGATTTAGGGTAAGCATGCAGAGCGAGTGAAACTTTGCCATGTAAGGAGGCAGAGGGGTGATGTTTTGCAGAAGGAATATCTAACAACTTGCACGTTTGACAGAAACAACAGCTATGAAGCCTGCAAATTTGTAAAAAGGAGAAGAAGGTGCAAAAGGTAAGACACTTATGTGTCTCTACTCTTAACCATGTAAAGCGACTGGGAGACAAGGGAAGCTTCAGCCATAATTAATGCTATAGTTGCCTTGTCACAAATCCATGGAGTACATATGTCTTATTACAAGGTTTTCACCCATCCATGATAAAATAAAATGATGGAGCTCCAGTTTATTCATTTGAAAATATTGGTGTTGCCGGGAATGGTGGCTCCTGCCTGTAATCCCAGCAGTGTTAGAGGCTGAGACAGAAGGATCCCTTGAGGCCAGGAGGTCCAGCAGCCTGGGCAACATAGCGAGACCCCATGTCAATTTTTTTTTTAATGTTGCTGGGTGTGGTGTTCTGCACCTGTAATCCCAGCTACTTGGGAGGCTGAAGCAGGAGAACTGCTTGAGCCTCGA
The DNA here is from genome assembly GCF_000001405.40 of Homo sapiens. Lineage (NCBI taxonomy): Eukaryota > Metazoa > Chordata > Mammalia > Primates > Hominidae > Homo > Homo sapiens. The sequence goes on from NT_187539.1 coordinate 166,601, forward strand.
AGTTTGAGGCTGCAGTTAGCTATGATAGCAACATTACACTGTAGCCTGGGTGGCAGAGTAAGACCCCATCTCTGATAAAAAATAAAATCAAATAAGATAAGATAAAATAAAATGTTGGTCTTTTTCTTGGAATTATGCTTTTTAAATTTATTTTGCTTTTAAAAAAAATTTAAGAAATGACAATAATAGTTGGTTTATATAAGGCTTTCAGAAACTGGCTTCTGCCCAAATCTCCATCTGCAGCCCCTTCTCTGTCTGCTCTTTTTTCTGGCATTACTGAGCTGCTGGTAATGCCCCCATCACCATCCCTCTCATGTAGAAAAATATACTCTGGGAAGCTTCTCTCCCTCTCTTGCCGCTGCCTGGCATGTGCTACCTTTCCTGCCCTCTGCCTCCTTTAATCTGGTAAGCCTCTCTGTCTAAGTCTCAGCTCAGGCATGGTCTCTAGAAAAGCCATCCCCGATGGCTTTTATTCCCGTTATTGAAACCCCAGTGCCTACCACTTAGCAGGAACTCCATGAATATCTAGTAAAATCAAGACTGTTTATACGAAGATGATTGCTACAGTCTAGCAGCAAAGGGGATAGACATGCAAAGACATGATGTGCAGTTCAGATGGTGGAGTGACACTAGAAAACTTGACAAAGTACTAAGGGAGCCCCAAGGAAGGAGACGCCTGTGTACGTGGAGAAATACAGCCAGATTCAAGGAGGACTTCACATAGCATTCTGAGTCATTTTTTCTTTTTTCTTTTTCTGTTTTTAGAAACAAGTTCTTACTCTGTCACCCAGGGTGGAGTGCAATGGCATGATCGAGATTCACTGCAAACTCAAACTCCTGGGCTTAAGGGATCCTCTCACCTCAACCTTTTGAGTAGCTGGGACTACAGGCACACACCACCATGCGTGGCAAATTTTCTGTAGAGTCAGGGCTTCACTATGGTCTCCAGGCTGCTCTTAAACTCTTGGCTTGGAGCAGTTCTCCTTCCTGGGCCTTCCAAAGTGCTGAGATTACAGGTGTGAGCTACTGTGCCCAGCCTACATTCAGAGTCTTAAAACACGAAAATAAATTTGTCAGAATAGTAGAGGAAAACATTTCAGATGTAAAAATCAGGATATACACTAATAAAGGTATAATGGTAACAAAATTTTGCAAATTATTAGTAAATAACAACTCACTTAGCATGTTGTTGAAAAGATACTATTATGAAGTAGAGAATAAAGTATTACTTTATATGTTTTTACTATATTTTTAAATTTTACTTTGTTTCCAGCAGTTTTGCTTATTTATTTTGCGTGGAATAATTTGTGGGTGACCCTGAGACTTTTGCATGGCTTGAACCTGCTGATATCTAGTGTCTCCTTAAGTGGTTTGTTGAGGTTTTAGATAATTAGAAGTATTTCTTTAAAATGTAAATATTCCAGTAAACATTAAGCTTCATTTAAACTCTCCATTTATAAAATAAAAGTATATGTTATTTTGTATCCATTTTTATAAAGATTATAGTCTTTATCTAAGTGTTCTAAGTCATTCATTTTAACTAAACATATGGATTTGTCTGCAGAACACGACTTAAAAGTGGCTTCAGAGGAAAAGCAAGAAACGCTTGAAAGAAGTGAAAATAAACAGCCAGAGGTATGTAACAATTTAAATTTCTGGTTTAATATTGGTTGGTTGGTTTTTCTTTAATAACACAGCATAGTCCAAAAGAAGTGACCTTTTAGACTGTCCTTTTAGAATCCAACAGACAGATCATAATTTCTTACTTAATTTTAAAACATTTTAGCCAGTTATAAAATTTAAAATATCCTTACAGTCTGCAGTAACTCATAGCTATCTGTACCCTTGGAATTGAGGCCAGAAATTTCCAGAAGTCTCTTTGCTCTTTTACTTTTATAAGCTTCTTCATGACAAAGAAAGTAACATCAAAAATTGAGTTGTATTACTAAGCAAGAGAAATTATGAACAATTTAACAGTGATGGCCACTGAGTTCAACTCGTGTTAAAGGAGTCATCGTTGCTAGTGGTTCAGACTCTGCAGTTTTATGTTGCTGGTCACCAGTGCTGAGGTTAAAGACTTCTTCTGTTTTTTGGTTTCTGGTTGCCTTCAGTGTCTTTGTTCAGGGAGAGAATGGGGTCATAAAATCAACCCAGCTGCCTATTAAGAGAATTATGACTTCCAGAATGGGACTTTGGTATCAGGGTACAAACAATAACCTTCTTATTTTAGTATAAATAGTAAATGTTATTAAAATCTTTTAATCCATTGTCACTAGTGGGACTTAGAGTATATTAGAACTGGATATAAGTGGATAATCTATCTAGATAACACTCATATTACAGTATAGCATTTGAAGTAGAATCTAAAAATTTTATTCTCTTTCTGATTGGTGTTCATTTTGGCTTCTAATAGTTTAGCATTTGCCTACTCTCCAGTTAATCTTCAGAAATATGAATTTACTGTAGGGGTTCACTATTTATGGTATCCTGAGGTCAAAATCCTTTTAAGAGAGAAAGCCTTTAGAATACTACATATCATCTGTGAGCCCATTTCTGGCAGATTTAATTCATAATGAATTAAGTTTAGTCCAAACTAACAGTGAGAGTTAAGCTTGCTGGTTCATGTTTTTCTCCTATGTTAAGCCAAGGCAAACTATTTTTTACTTCTTAGTTATAATCCAGTAACTTAGGGATAGCAAAACATAGATTAAGTTTTACAGTTACATTTTAATTATTTTCTATTTTTTTATTCATACTTAATTCAGAATAAAGTTAATTTTAAAACATGCACCCTAACAGAAAAGACATCTGAGAAACAAAACAAGCAAATTAATTTTCCACTTTTGCACCTGCAAAAAAATGTCTCAAGAACCAGAACTGAGTAAGAATTGTGATAAAGAGTGTTTATCTGTATATTCAGGGCTTCCTTTAAAATTAATTACAAGAAAGTTCAACTGAAAATTGGTGAAAGTTTTGAAAAATCCAAAATTACTGTTTGTCCTGAGGAAGAGCTCTTACATAGTTACTCTAAAGAGGGACAAAATTAAAGGAAGTGCCCTCTAACCCAATGAATCATGTCCCTGACTGCAAGGAAGCAGATGCATCTTGGAGTGTCGAACTCTGTAGTATCCCAGGCATTGCCTGAACAGGAGGAGAACATCACAAACCTGTCTTTTCATTGTATTTATACTCTGGGTCCCTCAAACACACCTGCCAGTCATCTTCTAAGCTTTATTCAAATGAAAATAAATCAGACTGTAAAACTTGTAACTATCCAGACATGTAGCCTGTTTCTCAGAGATGAAGAGAATTGTTGTAATGATACAGAAATAGAAAAATTAGGGAACCCAGTAGTTATGGTTGAAATGAAAGAGGACCAAGAGTTTGATATGCAAATGACAAAAAAATATAAACCAAAATACCGTTAATTGGAAATTAGACATTAGACATTGGCCTCAGTCTAGAGATCCAAAAAGTCTGTTTGATTTGTGGTTTGTTTACTCTAAAGAAATGAAGCATGTGATACAGATAGAAAGCCACAGTATTTCTGCTGTTACAGACACTTACAAAAACAAAAATCCAGTAAGCACTTGTTCCACAAGCCATATGGAACTTAGAAGCTCTTCTAAAGCTTAGAAGATGACTGGCAAGTATGTTTCAGGGAGCCACATAAGACAGTTCCACTGCTAATAGCTATAAAAGCATGAAACCTGCATGAGAAAATGTGAGTTATTCTCCACCCCATAGTGACAGAACATCAAAAGCATATCTAGAAGAAGACTTACAGCAAGATATGCAAAGGCTTAAGAATGAGGTGGGCATGTTACAAGTAGAGTTCCTGGCTTTGAAGAAAGAAAGCTTAACTATAAAAAGAAAGAGGTTCACTTGCTGCTTCTCTTTTTATAAATTATCTGATTCATTCTGGTTTTCTACTCAAGAAAATCTCATGTGTCTAGTTACAGTGTGGTTATCTAAATGCATAATTATGTGTCTAAGTAGATCAGTGCTGCTATCTAAATGACAGTTCTGGAAAACACTCTCATAATCTTTGTTCATTAGTCAACCTGAGTCTCACTATCAGTCTTCCAAGTGGCACATGGGCTGGGAAAATAATTTAGCCATATGCCATGTGACCTTCTGAATCAGCTAAACATAAAGAAAATTGCTAAAGAAATAAGCTCTAGATTCTTCTTACTGTATTCATTTAAAGATGACTTACATTTATTTAAATGATAAAATGGTAACACGATGGGAGGGAAACAATGACTGAGAAGAGACATGAAAATGTATCTAGCCTGGAGACTTGTAACAAATATTATCAGCCAAAGGCGTCTGTTTAATGTGCTTTCATGCATGCAAGTTTATTTGTCTGACTCAAGCTGTTTAAACTTATAATTCCATAATGGCCATTTTAAATATTTTTGGAAACAAATACATATACTTTTGCATATTTAAAAAAAATCACCACTCTCCAATGTTTCTGTTGAATCACACTTTTACATTATGTTGTTTAATAAAATATGGTAAGTTTTGACATGTATGATTTTATCATGTAAGTAGCATAACTTCTCAGCCAAATATTTATCATTTGACTCTATAGTGGAAAGCTGAGTTCTGTACATTGTGTTCTAAAGATAGACAAAAATCTAGAGATTTTCTTAAAAGCAGATGAGGCCTCCTGCCATCCTCTGAGGCATTAAATTGCTTTGCCAAAGTCACGCTTTTAATTTATTTGACTAATTTGATATATTTATCTGGTAATTTATGTAATGCAGCAATATGTAATTGTATCTTCCCTTTTGGTGCCATGAAGTGCTAGGTAATGCCACCTTAGGAGCTTTGGGTGAATTATTTAATATTTATTGGTTTTACTTCTATTATCAAGTAGATAATGGGGCTAGAGTAGACAACTATTCTGTATATCTTCCAGCTATAAACTTTTGTGGTGATTGAATGTAAACTTGGGGAACATCTCATTTTCTAGGATTCTGCACTAGCAACTCAGCAGTGTCACTCTGCTCCTTGAGTTGTGGTAAACTTTGGTTCCTCTATTTCAGTGAGCACCTTCACTTTTTTGATATCCCAGGATCCAAGTGAAAAAATAAGGATAAAAGACAGTGGGGAAAATAACAGCTTAGTGCAGAACAGGGAAAGCTTCTTTTCTGTTTCTGAAGCCCCACAAGGTCACCTCCTCTCAATCTGGCTATTTCATGGAGAATCCAGGTGACAAAGACAGAAGACACATTTTATGTCTGTGTCTTTTTGTTTCTCTGTTTTTGTGTTGATATATTTACACCACAGAAGTAACTGTGATCTGGTGGAGAACTAGAAGTAGAGTCAGAAGCCCTGGGAACATCCTGCAGCTTGCTTATATTTTTAACCTCTCTTTTTAAGAATTGTGATAAGAAATTCATCAATGTATGTACGTAGAAGTGCTTAGTACAATGTCTAGATTTATGATTTAGTAAATGAAATTCTTATAACTGACTAAAAATGTTGAGTCAAATCACAATAGAATATTATCAGGGAAACAGAACTTCTAAAACTTTGAGAAATTTTATCGGTCCAAATACACGTGGAGGTAAAGCTCTTACTACAGGGTGGTATCTGGGTTAGATATCAGAGTATAAATGCAATTTCCTTTTTCCAATATTTTAATTTAGTCAAATTTGTTAATATTTTACTTTATGCTTTGAGTTTGTTGTAATTCAGAGAAAGGCTTTTCCAATTCTGATATTCTTAACAGTTCTCTAGTGTGTATGTGTGTGTTTTTAGTTTTATGGATTCATTGACTTCAAATAAAGTTTTGAACTTTTTGAAATTTATGCTCTTTAAGGTTCAAGGTTTTGCTTCAACTTTTTCTCCAGTTGGATATCCACTTACAGCAACTTTTAATTGCATGAATGTACAGGTTGTTCTTTCACTTCAGAGATAAACATGATATGTTATTTTATTGAGTGCTAGCTGAAAATTTCTTTTGTTTTATTTAAGATTTTCAAAGTTATAGAAAAAAGAAGGATGTGATATATACAAATTGCATATTGAAGGGAGATATTGCCACACTCAAACAGGAATAATACACAATAAAAAATGACAGTGTCAAAAAGGAAAAGGAATATATTCAGGAAATTAAGAGTATTAGAGAAATAAATGCTAACTTTGAAAAAAGTGCAAGACTCAATGAGGAAATGACAACAAAAACGATGTCCCAGTATTGTCAACAGCTTAATGGCCTCAAAGCTGAGAATACAAGGCTGAATTCAAAATTGGAGAAGGAAGAACACCACACAGATGGACTGGAAGCTGAAGTTGAATTCTTCCATTCTAGGCTGGCTGCTGCTATAAATGAGCACAATGAAAGTTTAGAAACGAAAGACCTAGAACTTGTTTTACAGAGAGCACATAATTTTTCCGTACATAAAAAAATAAGTTCTACTGTTTCTCAACTAAAAGATAAAAATGAGTTGCTTACTGAACAATTTTCTAAAGCTCAGATGAAGTTCAATACCTTAAAAGGTAAGCTCCATGAGATAAGAGATGCTCTCAGGGAAAAGACATTGGCTTTAGAAAGTGTACAGATGGACCAAAGGCAAGCACAGCATCGAATAAAGGAAATGGAGCAGATTCATCCAAATGAGGAAACTAAAGGAGTCGATCCACCGGAAAGCACAACTGTGTAGAGGAGAGACTATGTCAACTAGAATGTGACAGTCTCTTGCTTCAACGACAACTAGAGGGTGCTCATAAGGAAGGCAATGATAAAGAGATAGTAATTAATATCCAAGGAGGCTGTCTTGAGAGTGGAAAGATCTTCTAGAAGAGAAAAATAAGAAACTAATGAATGAATATAATTCTATAAAAGAAAAACTGTTTCAGTATGTAAAAGAAGAAGGAGAAGTAAGTATGAAGAAAGATAAATATATTTAACCTTCCAGAAAGAAAATTTAAACATTTCATTGTGGCTATATGTTGAATCTAGTTCAATATAATAATAAATAGATGAAAATGTATTTACCATACTGTATAATTCCATTAACATGAAACATCCAGAAAAGACATGTATAGGGACAGAAAGAAGATGAATGTTTCTGTAGGGCTGGGGCTGGAAATGGGTCGTGACTGCTGATGGGCATGAGGGATCATCCTGGAGTGATGAAAATGTTCTAAAGCTGGATTGTAAAGATGACTGCACGACTGGTAAATTTACTAAAAATCTTTGAACTGTATGTTAAAACAGATAAATTCTGTAGTATGTAAATCATATTTTAGCAAAGCTGTTTTAATAAAAAAACAAAAAAAATATGTTTACTGTATCAGCTTGGAAACATACCTTGTTTCCAGGAAATAAAAGGTAGAGCTGACAGATGCTTTCCTTTGAGTAAACACATTATGTCACCTATGAAATTTTAGTAGCTACAGAGTAATGTTCATACAGTATGTAGTCTTATACTGCTGAAATAATAAATTTAATGTCTTTATGTTGTCACATTTTAAGACCATAATGAAGCAGATAAATTGATATCTTGTACCTGAAATAAGTATTTTGAAATTAAGATTCAATTAAGTGAGCCACTTTGACACTTAATTCTAGATTTCCCAGATGAACTGAAGTGTGTTGCTCTGTCTTGTGGTGCTTTTCCTTCAGTGGCTCTTTTATGTATTTTAGTTGGCATAACTTTATTTTGATTCATATCAATGTGACTTAAGTCTGAAAATATGTCAGTCTCACATTATGTATTTTTCTGACCACTTAATATTTTAAAGACATCTACTTGTTATAAAATCACAATTTGGAATAAATGTGGTAAATTTTAGCAAAAAATATTTGATTTAATGTTCCCACTGGTAGGTATTTATAATTTACTTTGAATATTTTTATTAATAATTAGCTCATAATTTACATTTCAAGTCTCCATGACTGTCATTTGGATATAACTTTGTCCAGTACAAAGATACTTGTAGCTGTCTGTGATTTGTGAGTTTGACATTGAATCCCCATTTTCAGACTAATGAGGGGTGGCAGAGTTCATGTAGAGTGGGAATGAAGTGAGTATGGGACAGAGTTGTAGGAGCTGAGCTCAGGGAGGGAGGTAGAGGCCATGTTATCTAGGGACTTGAAGGCCGTTGGAATTTTACTTTTACTCTGAGATAGGAATCTGTTGGAAGGATTTGAACAGGTGACTGAATGTGTGAGGAACTCAGGTTGAGTTGAGGGTCTGAGATGAATGAATAGTGGGCTGAATCAATCTGTCATGTAAGAGAATACCAATTTGGCAGGAAGACAACACCTTCTTTTTTTTTTTTTTTTTTTTTGAGACGGAGTCTCGCTCTGTCGCCCAGGCTGGAGTGCAGTGGCGCGATCTCGGCTCACTGCAAGCTCCGCCTCCCGGGTTCCCGCCGTTCTCCTGCCTCAGCCTCCCGAGTAGCTGGAACTACAGGCGCCCGCCACCATGCCCGGCTAATTTTTTTGTATTTTTAGTAGAGACGGGGTTTCACCGTTTTAGCCGGGATGGTCTCGATCTCCTGACCTCGTGATCCGCCCGCCTCGGCCTCCCAAAGTGCTGGGATTACAGGCGTGAGCCACCGCGCCCGGCCGAAGACAACACCTTCTATGTTCCTCACTGAATTCAGTAATAAAGGAGAATGTATACATATGAGAAAAAGAAAGCTAATCTATGTGTGTGGTAATAATTTTCAAAGTATGCATGTTAGAGTTAAATATTAACATAATTTAATAATAAGGCAATTTATAAAATTAATAACAAAAATATTTTATCAGGAGACTGTAAGGTAACCTCAAGAACAACTGGCCAGTCATCTTAAAAAATTTCCTATGTCAGAGTCTCCACTGGAAGGTACATCACATTGTCATATTAATTTGGATGAGACATGGGCTTCAGAGAAGAAATTATATTTCAAGTAGGAAGTCAAATATGTATGGAATTTAACATGTCGACAGTTAATCTGTAGCTGGTTGAATAATATAAACTGTTTTAGGATACTAATTTCAGTGGACAGCTTGATTTTTTATTTTTATTATAATTAATTATTACCATTTTATTACCTTTATAATGTACTTATTTCTTAAACTCTGGCTTTTATTCTGCCATTTTGAAAAATAATTGCATACGTTTTACAATATTTTCTCTTGGGAAAGTTGAGAAGTATACATCATTCCTCACAGAAAATTGGCTTTTTTCCTGTTAAATAGTATTTTTAGATAATTTCCTTATTGCCATTATTATGAGGTCAAGAGATCGAGATCATCCTGGCCAATATGGTGAAACCCTGTCTCTACTAAAAATATAAAAATTAGCCAGGAATGGTGGTGTGCACCTCTGTCCCAGCTACTTGGGAGGCTGAGGCAGGAGAATTACTTGAACCCAAGAGGTGGAAGTTGTAGTGAGCTAAGATGTTGCCACTGCACTCCAGCCTGGATGACAGAGTGTGATTCCATCTCAAAAAAAAGAAAAGAAAAAAAAAGGACAAAGTATGCTGGTCAATATCCTAAGGGTGAGACGATCCCCCTTCGAGATTAGAAAATAACACTATATGCACAGTAACATCAATAAGAATCAACATAAAATAGACATGATTCACTATCTACAAAAGTAACCTGCACCAAGTGGCAATGTCTGAGTGTGTGGTTGAGAATATTGTCTATAATATGTGTACTAGAAAGAAGAGGCCTCAAGAAGAAGGTCAGAGCTGGAAATGTAGATTAGGGAATCTGGGTCAAAATTTTGAGATTTTAGGAGTCCTGAGAGAATTTAAAAGAGGAATAGTGGCTGGGCGTGATGGCTCATGCCTGTAATCCCAGCACTTTGGGAGGCCGAGGTGGGCAGATCATGAGGTCAGGAGTTCAAGACCAACCTGGCCAACATGGTGAAACCCCGTCTCTACTAAAAATACAAAAAATTAGCCAGGCATGGTGGTGGGCACCTGTAATCCCAGCTACGTGGGAGGCCGAGGCAGGAGAATCGCTTGAACCTGGGAGGCAGAGGTTGCAGTGAGCGGAGATCACGCCACTGCACTCCAGCCTGGACAACAGTGCAAGACTCCGTCTCAAAAAAAAAACAAAAACAAAAAAACAAAAAACAAACAAAAAAACAGGAATAGAAAGGAATAGGACTGAACATCAGAGGTTGCTGCATTTAGAAATAAAGTGGGTTCAGAGGAGCAGAGGGAGCATTTGGTCTACTCGCAGTTGCTGCTGAGTAAAGCAGGATAAAGTCCTTCATGACCCTTGCACTTTTTTATTGGAATTATTTAAAAATCAGATTGCGGTATAAAAAACACAATAAGTGATGAAAAATAGATCTCTGGATGAGACCATGTGTCATAGAGTCCAATGGAAGGGGAGAAGCAGGATAATAGAAAATCTACAAAAAGTAGACAAAAGTTATGTTTTTATTATAGAAAAAATCTTTATTTAAAGAGAAATGATTAAGAGAAAGGGAAAAAACTGAAATCTATGGGTGAATACTAACAGAGAATATTTAGATCAGCCTGAAGACAGATGAGGATCAAAAATGTAATGGGAACTAGATAAGAGTTTTCTAAAAATCATCTTAGTAAGATGTAATTTAACAAAACTTGGAATATCTTTAACTATTAATGACAATGTTTCTAAAGCATCTTTAAAAACTAAAATGTAAATATAACTACTCTTTTTTTTTTTTTTACTAACCCTTAGTATTTTATGTGTAAAAACCCCCACTTTTAACCCTCATTTTTGGCAGCTTAAATTTCAGAAAAGATAATGATGAAAGTATAAATCATTTTTAGCTGTTTTAAGAAAAGTGTCTATTTTTGAAATCTGTCCTTATTGGCGTCAGGTTTATAAAATGTGCTTTATACACCTGCCTAAATACATATTATTCATCAACTTATGAGAAATAACATTTTTAAGATAGAACAGGGTCTCTAGATTTTACAAAAATAATTTTAAACACTTTCTTTTTTTCTTTTTTTTTTTTTTTAAGAATAAAGTCTGGAGTTTAGTTAATAGTAATGTACCAATGTTAATTTCAACAAATGTACCATTGTTATGTAAAATGTTAACATTAGAGGAAACCAGGTGAGGGTTATACAAGAACTCTCTGTACTATCTGCAACCTAGAATAATCTAAAACTATTGCCAAATAAAAGCCTTTTTTAAATTTTTTTGTTATTATACTTTAAGTTTTAGGGTACATGTGCACAACGTGCAGGTTTGTTACATATGTATACATGTGCCATGTTGGTGTGCTGTACCCATTAACTCATCATTTAGCATTAGGTATATCTCCTAATGCTATCCCTCCCCCCTCCCCCACCCCACAACAGTCCCCAGAGTGTGATGTTCCCCTTCCTGTGTCCATGTATTCTCATTGTTCAATTCCCACCTATGAGTGAGAACATGTGGTGTTTGGTTTTTTGTTCTTGCAATAGTTTGCTGAGATGATGGTTTCCAGCTTCATCCATGTCCCTACAAAGGACATGAACTCATCACTTTTTATGGCTACATAGTATTCCATGGTGTATATGTGCCACATTTTCTTAATCCAGTCTGTCATTGTTGGACATTTGGGTTGGTTCCAAGTCTTTGCTACTGTGAATAAGATATTAACTCAAAAAGTTTTCTTAATTCTTCATTTTCTTCTTCAGGCTTGAAAAAGAAAGTGTTGCAATAAACATAGGTGTGCATGTTTATTGCAACACTTTCTTTTTCAAGCCTGAAGAAGAAAATGAAGAATTAAGAAAACTTTTTTTGAGTTAATATCATCACTGGAGTATAATGTGGATCAAATAAGGAAGAAAAATCATGAATTAGAGGAAGAGGCATCTGGGTATGGTTTTCATATTGTAGAACATTTTAATCATTTATTAATTGACTTAACTCTAATATTACTTGATTAAAACCTAGATACAAATTCATTTTATGTCTGCATTTTCATAATTAAACGAAATCTATTTTAAAATGTATTTTGGAAACTCACAACATTATAGGCATGTGCGTCATGGGGGCGGGAGTCAGCTGAGCTGCTGGGGCAAGGTTGGGATGAAAAAATTTATATTAAAAACATATAAAAAAAGAAACAACACAATCTGAAATTTTTTTGAATGCCAAAATGCTACACTTCTTTTTTTTTTTTTTTTTTTTTGGAGACAGAGTCTGAGTCTGTCATCCAGGCTGGAGTGCAATGGTGCATTCTCTGCTCACTGCGACCTCCACCTCCCAGGTTCAAGCATTTCTCTGGCCTCAGCCTCCTGAGTAGCTGGGATTACAGGCATGCACCACCACACCTGGCTAATTTTTGTATTTTTAGTAGAGACGGAGTTTCACCATGTTGGTCAGGCTGGTCTCGAACTCCTGACCTTGTGATCTGCCCACCTGGGTCTCAAAAAGTTGGTGTGAGCCACTGCACCCAGCCATTTATTCTTTAATGATTTTGAAAACAATAATGAGAAAGCCTTGAACATGTAATGTCAACTGCACTCTTCATTATCTAGTTTCAATTATAATTTCTGAAGATATTTTTGCTGTCTTTGGTCAACTTTCTTTTGCAGTATCCTTCTCTGCTGCATTCAAATTCTTTAAAGGAGACCTATTCGTGTCATTCTTTAACATCAAAATTTATCTTGATATGTAGCTTGTATTTTGTTTCTGCCTCTTTTTCTTTTAAATATAAAACATATCATGGAAATTTACTCATTTTACATGGGCCCTTCTGTTGTATACATGAAGTATACATGCTATTAAACTTCTGTCTTACAGAAATAAATTTTATATATATATAAATATATGCATAACTTAAAAAGAGTAAAATGAGCATTCATGTTTTGATCACAGTTTTTTTTTAAATGGAATGTGTCTTTGAAGCCCTGAACACAGCTACTTTTCTATTTATTTACTGAGCACTTAAGTTGGTTTTCTGATTCTAATGAACATTTTTCTGTCATTGCCTTTCTCTACATGGTTCTGCATATCTTTCATTTTGTTGACATTTTGTCAGGAAAGATCTCTAGATCTCTTCTTCAAAGTCTTTACGTCAACACATATCTCTGTCCCTTTCCTTTTTTTCTAAAACTGCCTGTTTCCTTTTTCTCAGGAGATCTGGTTGTATAATAGGGTGTGCCACCTCCTTCGTCTCATTGCCCCTTGATATTCTGGTATGATTGGGTGGCTTCCTGAGTCCTGCAGAATCATGGGCCGATTAAAGCTCTTTTCTTTATGATCATAGAGAATATTAGTACTGCAAAGTGGAGCTATCAGATGTCTTCAAGGCCTTTTCCCTGTTGTCTTGACAATCAGCACTCAGCTTCTTTTCATTCAAGTATCTGAAGCCTTCTTGAATTTTTCCCCTCAAAATGGACTTGTCTTCCTTTACCACATTGCCAGGCTGCAACAAAGATAGCTGATAATGCAGAAGCAAGTTCAGAAGGGGCTAGCAAACAGAGGTCAGGAGAGTTTGGAGGGCTTTGAAGACAGGAAGATGAGGGAAAGTTTGGATCTTTGTAAAGAATTGTTAAATACTCGTGATCAAAAGCCTGACAGGAAAATGGACAGTAAAGGCCAGACTTAGAAGGTCTCAGATGAAAATGAGGAACTTACTAGGAACAGAAGCCAAGGGTACTTTTGATTTGCTGTAGCAGAGAACATGGCTTCACGGCGACCCTGCCCTGGAGATCTGTGATATAGGCTCCAGCCTACAGGGTCGGTGGGTTTTCTCCCATATGTGGAGACAAGAAAGTGTAGAAATGAAGACACAAGACAAAGAGATAAAAGAAAAGACAGCTGGGTCCAGGGGACCACTACCACCAAGATGCGGAGACTGGTAGTGGCCCTGAATGCCTGGCTGCACTGTTATTTATGGGATACAAAGCAAAAGGGGCAGGATAATGAGTGTGAGCCATCTCCAATGATAGGTAAGGTCACGTGGGTCATGTGTCCACTGGACAGGGGGCCCTTCCCTGCCTGGCAGCCAAGGCAGAGAGAGGGGGGAGAGAGAGAGACAGCTTACACCATTATTTCTGCGTATTAGAGACTTTTAGTACTTTCACTAATTTTGCTACTGTTATCTAAAAGGCAGAGCTAGGTGTACAGGGTGGAAAATGAAAGCGGACTAGGAGCGTGACCACTGAAGCATAGCATCACAGGGAGACGGTTAGGCCTCCGGATAACTGCGGGTGGGCCTGACATCAGTCAGGCCCTCCACAAGAAGTGGAGGAGTAGAATCTTCTCTAAACTCCCCAGGGGAAAGGGAGACTCCCTTTCCTGGTCTGCTAAGTAGTGGGTGTTTTTCCTTGACACTGATGCTACTGCTAGACCACAGTCCGCTTGGCAACGGGCGTCTTCCCAGACGCTGGCGTCACCGCTAGACCAAGGAGCCCTCTGGTGGCCCTGTCCGGGCATGACAGAAAAGCTCGCACTCGTCTTCGGTCACTTCTCACTATGTGCCCTCAGCTCCTGTCTCTGTATGGCCTGGCTTTTCCTAGGTTATGATTATAGAGCGAGGATTATTATAATATTGGAATAAAGAGTCATTGCTACAAACTAATGATGAATGATATTCATAGATAATCATGTCTATGATCTAGATCTAGTATAACTCTTGTTGTTTTATATATTTTATTATACTGGAACAGCTCGTGCCCTCAGTCTCTTGCCTCGGCACCTGGATGACTTGCCGTCCGCACTGTGAAACTTTGAACTTGAGGGTGATGACTTAGTGCATGTCTGGTGGAATGAACTTCTAGGCAGCAAAGCTCAAGATGTGTCCTGTCTGCATCAAACAGCCTGTGCTTTTATGTGTGACTGAGGCAGTGACCTCTGATTCGGACTTATATTAAATGAGTCCCAACTCTTATATTAAATGAGAAGCAAACTCAAAAGTTTGGAAAATTTGCAGCCTGGCCAATTGGTCAAAAAGAAAAGCTGATTTTCAGGGGAAAAATTCTGGAAGGGTTCAGAAATTTGCATAAAAAGGAGTCCAGTGCTAGTAGCCAAGACAATAGGAAAAAGGCCTTGAAGGCATTTCAGAGACATTTACAGCAGCCCTTGCTGTCACAGGCCCTGGGGCCTAGGAGAGAAGTATGGTTTCCTGGGCCAGTCCCATGATCTCCCTCTATGTGCAGCCTCAGGACACTGCTGCCTGCATCCCTGCAGCTCCAGCTGCAGCTCCAGCCATGGCTGAAAGATGCACAGATACAGCCTGTGTCACTGCTTCAGAGGATGTGAGCTAGAAGCCTTGGTAACTTCCTCATAGTGTTAAGCCACTAGGTGGACAGAGCATGAGACTAGAGGCTTGGGAGCCTCTGTATAGATTTTGGAAGATGTATGGAAATGCCTGGGTGTCCAGGCAAAAGCATCCCCAAAAGGCAGAGCCTCATAAGAAACCTCTACTAGAGCAGTGCCAAAGGAAAATATGGGGTTGGAGCCCCCACACTGGAGGCTACCATCATGCAGACCCCAGATTTATAGAACACCCCCCTCCCAACAGCTTGTACCATCAGTGGGGAAAAGCTACAGGCACTCAATGCCAGCCCAGCCCATGAGGGCAGCCGTGGGGTGTAAACTCTGCAAAGCCACAGGTGCAGAGCTGCCCAAGGCCTTGGGAGCCCAGCCCTCACACCCTTGTGCCCTGGATGTGGGACAAGGTTTCAAAAAGGGTGATTTTGGAGCTTTAGGATTGAATGACTGGCCTTCTGGGTTTGGAGACTGTAAGTCCTATCTGTGCTTTGTTCTTTCTGGCAAAATCCTCCCTTTTGGCTGGTAATGCTTACCCATTGCCTGTGCAAGTACTGTGCTTTGGAAGTAGTTAACTTGCTTTATATTTCAGAGGCTCATGGGCCTAAGGGACTGTAGCCTTGTGTCAGATGACACTTTAAGCTTTGGACATTTGTATAAATGCTGGAACGATGTAAGACTTTAGGGGACTGTAGGGAAGGCATCATTGTATTTTGCAATGTGAGAAGGACATGAGATTTTAGGAGTCAGGGACAGAATAATAAAATTTAGCTCTGTGTCCCTGCCAAAACTCATGTGGAATTGTAGTCGGGATTGTTAAAGGTGGGGCATGGTGGAAGGTGATTTAATCATGGTGGGGAGTGGGGGTTGGAAGGTGGGGGCATAGGGAAAATGGGGGACTATGGTGGGGGTGAGGGGTGAAAAGTGGCGAGGGGGTGGACCCTTCACAAATGATTAAACACCATCTCCTTATTGCTGTCCTTGTGATAGTGAGTTATCTTCATGATTTTGGAGCTGTGAGATTGAATGGATACTGGGCTTCTGGGTTTGGACTTGCATTGGGCCTGTGGTCCCATTTGTGTTATTTTCCCAGGAAATTTCTTCCCTTTGGATTGAGAAAGCTTACCCAATGCCTTTACCATCACCGTACCTTGAAAGAAAAGAACTCCCTTTTACATTCAGGGACTCATAGGCAAAGGGACTGTAGCCTTGTCTCAGATGAGATGTGGAATTGTTACATTTGCATTAATGCTGGAATGATTGAAGACTTTTGGGAACTTTTGTAAAGGCTTGATTGTATTTTGCTCTGTGAGAAGGACATGAGATTCAGTGGGCTCAGGGTTTGAATAATATGGTTTGTCTGTGTTTCCCTAGAAAAACTCAAGTGAATTGTAATCCTGAATGTTGGAGGTGGGGCCTGGTGGGAGGTGATTTAATCATGACAGGAGGGTGTTGGGGTGGAAGAAAAAGGAGTGGGTAGGGTAGGGAGGAGTATGTTGGCAGTAGGGTGGTGAGAGGGTAGGGGTAGCAGGAAGGGGGGTAACCTGCTGCAGAGGCAGAGGCTCATGGGAAACCTCTACTAGGGCAGTGCACCTGTGGCTTTGCAGGCTTTAGCCCCCATGGCTGCTCTCATGGGCTGGGTTGGTGTGGAGTGCCTGTAGCTTTTCCATACTGAGGGTGTGAGCCGTTGGTTTGTCTATGAATCTGGGCTCTGGAGGATGGTGGCCTCCTGTGTGGGGGCTCCAAGCCCATAGTTTCCTTCTGCACTGCCCTAGCAGAGGTTTTCCAAGAGGTTCTGCCTCTGCAGGAGGCTTCTGCCTGGAAACAGTGGGCGGTGGTGTGGGTGGCGGATCCTTCACCAATGGTTAATCTTCTTGATGCTGATCTCCTGATAGTGAGTTATCCTGAGATCTGGTCTTATAACAAGATGTGGCTCTTCTTTCCTCTCTCTGTCTTGCTCCTACTCCTGCCATATGAAATGTCTCATTGCCGCTTGGCCTTCTGGTATGGTTAGGAGGGGCCTGATCAGCGTGGGCCTGGTCAGTGGACCCAGTCAGTTGGGACTGACCTAGTCAGCGAGGCCTGTTTAATGGGGGCATGGTCAGCAGGGGTCTGTTTAGAGAGGGTCTCATTAGGGGGATCTAGTAGTGGGGTCTTAGTGAGTGGAGACCTAGTGGCAGCCAGTTGTTTGGTGTCTGGTCAGTGCAAACTTGGGCTGTGGGGCTTGGTCAGTGGAGCTTAGTGGTCAACTGGGGCTTAGTGGTGGCCTGGTCAGCATGAGCTGGGGCACTGGTGACCAGGTCAAGGGGTGCTATTCAGTGGAGGCCTGACCACAAGGGACCTAGTCAGCATGGCCTGGTGGGCGTGTCCTCATCAGCGAGGCCCTTGTCAGTGGGGTCCTGGTCAGGGCAGCCTGGTCAGTGGAACCGAATCAACGGGGGCCTGGTCAGAGAAGACTGGGTCAGTTGTGGCTTTTGTAGCACTGGTCTGTGGGGTGACCTGGTCAGCAGGGATCTCAGCAGCGGGTGCCTGTTCAGTGGGGTCTACTCACTAGGGTCGTGGTCAGGGGCAT